>NC_000001.11:231487151-231638667 GCF_000001405.40 Homo sapiens | reverse complement strand
TAAAGCCACATATTTACAACCAACTGATCTTTGACAACATTGACAAGAACATACACTGGGCAAAGGACACCCCTTTCAATAAATGATACTGGGGAAATTGGATGGCCATATGCAGAAGAATGAAACTGGACCCCTATACCTCATCATATACAAAACTAAATTCAACTAAAGATGAATTAAAGTCTTATAAATAAGACCCAAAACTATAAACATACTAGAAGAAAACTGAGGGAAAACTCTTCTGAACATTGGTCTATGCAAAGAATTCATGACTAAGACCTCAAAAGCACAGGCAACAACAACAACAACAAAAAAGCATAGGGAAATGGTACTTAGTTAAACTAAAAAGCTTCTGCAGAGCAAAGGAAATAATCAACAGACTTAAGAGACAACCTGCAGAATGTGAGAAAATATTTGCAAACTATGCATCCAACAATATCCAGAATATGCAAGGAACCCAAACAATTCAACAACAACAACAAAATAATTCCATTAAAAAGTGTGAAAAGGACATGAATAGACATTTTTCAAAAGAAGACATACAAATGGAAAACATGTTCAACATTACTACTAATCAAAGAAATGCAAATTGAAACCACAATGAGATGTCATCTTATGCCAGTCAGAATGGCCATTATTAAAAAGTCAAAAAATAACAGATATTGAAGAGAATGCAGTGAAAAGTGAAAAGGGAAATTTTAAACACTATTGGTGAGAATGTAAATTATTAAAATCTCTATGGAAAAAAGTATGGAGATTTCTCAAAGAACTAAAAATAAAACTACCATTTAATATAGCAATCCTACTATTGTGTATCTACCCAAAGGAAAATAAATCAATGTATCAGAAAAATACCTGGACTCACATGTTTATCACAGCAATATTCACAACAGCAAAGATATGGAATCAACCTAGATGTTCATCAACAGAGAACTGGATAAAGAAAATACGGTATACATACAAAAGGGAAAACTATTCAGCCATACAAAATGAACTCATGCCTTTTCCAACAACATCGATGGAACTGGAAACCGTTATCTTAAATGAAACAAGTCAGACACAGAAACACAAATATCACATGGTCTCACCTACAAGTGGGAGCTAAATCATGTCCACACGTGGATGTAGAAAGTGGAATAACAGACAATGGAGACTCAGAAGGGTGAGGATAGGAGGAGTGAAGGATGAGAAATTACTCAATGGGTACAATGTACATTATTTGGGTGATGGACATCCTAAAAGCCCCGACTTGACCATTAGGCAAACTATGCATGTAATGAAATTGCACTGTACCCCATAAATTTATATAAATAAAAAACTAATCATTTGACCGAGCAATCCCATTACTGGGTGTATACCCAAAGGCTTGTAAATCATTCTACTATAAAGATACATGCACACGTATGTTTACTGCAGCACTATGTACAATAGCAAAGACTTAGAACCAACCCAAATGCCCATCAATGATAGACCGGGTAAAGAAAATGTGGCACATATACACCAAGGAATACTATGCAACCATAAAAAAGGATGAGTTCATGTCCTTTGCAGGGACATGGATGAAGCTGGAAACCATCATTCTCAGCAAACTAACACAGGAACAGAAAACCAAACACCCCATGTTCTCACTCATAAGTGGGAATTGAACAATGAGAACACATGGACACAGGGAGGGGAACATCACATACCAGGGCCTGCTGGGGGGTAGGGGTCAAGGGGAGGGAGAGCATCAGGACAAATACCTAATGCATGTGGGGCTTAAAACCTAGATGACAAGTTGATAGGTGCAGCAAACCACCATGGCACATGTATACCTATGTAACAAACCTGCATGTTCTGCACATGTATCCCAGAACTTAAAGTAAAATTTAAAAAGCAGAATAAAATTTTAAAGGTAGTGTCAATATAAATTCATACCAAGATTAGCTGAAGGGAAAGTAACTCCCATAAGACATCTCATTTTGTTTCCACTGAGCCTGTTCTGACTCCTTGAAATGGCAGAAACAGGGGTAATAACAATATCTTTTATCATGTATTACCTTATGCTTTTCAAAAAAAGTTTCAAAAACACAATAAATATTTGAATAAATGCACTTAGATAATCCCAAATCAGAGTCAAGAAAATATATAAAAGTTAAATTCAAATGATAGAATTTGTCCATTTTTCCATTCAAATTACAATTTAAGTCAAGTAAAGAAAGACATACAAAAGCTGCATGATTAGGAGGGAGTGCAGCGCTCATCCTCCTGTCCCCAAGGCCGATTAGCCAGCTGGGTGAGAGATGAGATCATGAGTTCTGGGCCAATGAGTCACTGCCCTTCACCATTGCCCCCAGACACAAACAGCTGCAGGTCTCCCAAAGCGTGTGTCCACCCTACGGAGCTGCCACCCTACAGAGGAGAAAATGTGGGTGAAAGTAAGCAAAAGCAACATCACAACCATGAAATTAACTCAGTGTTCTACAAATGGAGAATTATATATCTCTTTCTGAATGAAGAGCAGCATATTTCATACACAGTGTGGAAATAAACATTGAGTAAATTGTTTTCAAAATTGTCATACCTAGGAGTAAACCCAGCAATAGGTAAATTATAAATTAAAGGAGCCCTTCTTTCTTCCTCCATCTATCCATCCATCTAGACTGTAAGGTATTTATTAGGCATCTACTGGTGCTAAATACTTCTTAATGATTTTAGTACACCCCGATGTGCCCAGTCCTTCTGATGAAACAATATCCGGAAACTTCATGAGAATGAATTCTCTTTTTTCCACGGGACTATAGGCTTCTCAATGGTGTAGACAACACTATCTATTTGAATTTACATATCAATTTACACATATATATACAAACATAAGTATATATATTTTTTATATTCAAGAGCTATCATAGTATCTGACTATATAGTGTATGCATCTCAATAAATATTTAAACTGAACTGAACTTCTGAAACTCCTGATTGGTTTCAAAAGATATAAAAATAATAGACTTGGTTAATCTATGCATTGGATTAATACATCCTAAATATAATTAAGAGTTTGGTCTAATCCAGTGAGAACAGAGTAAACCATAAGTGTACTACATAGATGAGGGAGTAAGGAGATAAACCAGAACTGAAACCTTGAGTTGAAGAAGTCTACATTGGAGTCAGAAAAACAGGTTATATCCATAACAAACTATAACAGAAGAAGGAGAGAGCAGACGATTCCAGAGAACCAGGGAAGGCTGAGAAGCATTATTGATTTGCTAGGTGGTAAATGAGGGATGACATTTTGATGCGTTCAGATTGGGAGCAAGAAAGACGGATTCTGTAATATTCTCGGTGGGCAGAATAATGTGCATAATAAAAAGGCCAGAGTGTCCGTTTTAAGTGTTTAAGGGCCAGTGTATGGAAAGCTTGAAAAGAGATGCTAAGAATTTGCTTGGGGGGAGATAATGAGTCTCTGAAAGCCCCTTCCACAGAGGAACAATAACCCAATCAGATCTGTGCTTTGTGAGGACTGTCCTGGCAGCAGTGTGCAGGCCTGATTGGAAGGAGTTACTCAACAGAGACATAATGACATAATCCAGTATCAGAACTGGGAAGACACAGGAAGGGCTGGAACACCTTCTGAAGAGGCATCCTAGGTGTGGCTGTTAAGCTCTAAGGCCTAAGAATACCAGGCTCCCTTAGTTCTCTCTAGACTGGATGGCCCTTGAGAACAATCTACATTTTTGGTTTTGGGGGAGTTTTTTCATTTTTTTTTTGAGACAGGGTCTTGCTATGTTGTCCAGGCTGGAGTGCAGTGGCTATTTGTAGGCACAAGCATAGCGCACTGCCACCTTGAACTCCTGGCCTCAAGCAATCCTCCCGCCCCAGCCTTCCAAGGAGCTGGGACTATAGGCATGCACCACCATGCCTGGCACTCTACATTTTTAAGTACCCTGCAATGTACAACACTGTACTGTGTATACAGTAGGTGCTAGTGTTTGTGAATGAATAAATAAACACAATGGAAGAAATTAATGGATAAGTTAATGTCTCTAGGAGATAATTCTATAAACTAAGGAACACAAAATGATTAATAGAGTCGAGGCAATTTAAGGCCCCCAAATCTACTGTTTAAATTGAATACAGATGCTCTATCCCCAAGGACAGTGTCTCACATTTCATTTTGCTTGGCCTGCAGCTATAACACAAGACGCTAGGGAAACATTAAGACTTGTACTGAAATACGCAAACTTTTTTTCTTCAGAAGATTTGTGATCCCAAAACAGCTCTTGCAACTCTAAGTTTCCAGTGTAGCAGAAATATTAGAACCCCGTTTTATCTCTGTATTTACTTTTTTTTTCACTTGACCATTGTAAAATAATCTTCCTTTTCCTATCAGTGTTGGAGTAAGATGAGGCATGCTTTCACTACAAATGCAAAACACGCACATTCTCCTGTGTTAAAAATAAAGTCCAATAATCAATCCACTCACAAACCAAGAGATGACAGGTACAGGCCAGGCGCGGTGGCTCACTCCTGTAATCCCAGCACTTTGAGAAGCCGAGGCAGGCGGATCACTTGAGTTTAGGAGCTCAAGACCAGCCTGGCCGACATGGTGAAACTCTGTCTCTACTAAAAATACAAAAATTAGCTGCACGTGGTGGGGCATGCCTGTAATCCCAGGTACTTGGGAGGCTGAGGCAGAAGAATTGCTTGAACCTGGGAGGCGGAGGTTGCAGTGAGCCAAGACTGCGCCACTGCACTCCAGCCTGGGCTACAGAGCAAGACTCCGTTTCAAAAAAAAAAAAAAAAAGATGACAGGTATGAAAAAGAAAAGTTAGGTAGGCGTACATGTCACAAAATGCAATTTCAACTCAGATTCCACATTCAGGACACAACTTACTCATTAAACTTTAGATATTTCACCTTTCAACCTGTGAAAGCGATTAGTCTCCATGCAAGGCCACCTGTCAAATGCACGTTTCTACTCCTGGTAGATTTGTTCATCTGGGCGAACATAATTGTGTTAATGATCAATATCAATCCTAGACATGTACAGCTCTGGGGAGTTAAAGTAGCTACGACATTCGGGCAGATGACTGCAAAGAAGCTATCTAGGCTTCCTGAAATGGAACCACCTGGGCAAGGGAAGGAAGCAAAATGTGGAAGCCCAATGAGCAGGGAATAGGAAATTTACACAGTAGCTCAAATCCTGCACAATCCCAATCCTGCAGGACAACGATCACAGCATCTTAGCACTGGAAGGGTTCCCATTCATCATCCAACGCAGCCCCCTCCCCAGTGCAGAACCCTCATGACAGTCACCCTAGAGTCATCCACACTGCCCTACATACTTCCAATGACAAAATGCTCTCTGCCTTTCGGGGTAGCCTATTCCATCAATGGATAACTATTTTTAGCAAGTTTTTAATTTAGTCAAAAAGTGATACCTTTCTAATGTGTGGCTGTCATGCTAATTCTAATTCTGAACCAAGTAGCCACTCAATAAACGTTGAATGAATAAATAATGAATTCATGAACAAATAGATTCTTAAGGATCCATTGACATTTAGTGTAACAATAGTAATTACTTGAAAATCTACGTGGTTTTTTGTTTGTTTGTTTTTTTGACGGAGTCTCTCTCTGTAGCCCAGGCTGGAGTGCAGTGACATGATCTTGGCTCACTGCAACCTCTGCCTCCCAGGTTCAAGCGATTCTCCAGCCTCAGCCTCCCAAGTAGCTGGGATTACAGGCACACGCCACCATGCTCAGCTGATTTTTGTATTTTAAGTAGAGATGGGTTTCTGCCATGTTGGCCAGGATGGTCTCGAACTCCTGACCTCAGGTCATCTGCCCACCTTGGCCTCCCAAACTGCTGGAATTACAGGCATGAGCCACTGCGCCTGGCTGAAAATCTAAGTTTTTAAGAGCCATCATAGCTCAAAAAAAAGGGATTCAGTTCAATTCATTTAATGTATCTTAAGCAGGGATGAATTATACAGAACTATGAAATGAAACACAACTTAATGAAAACAGTTCTAAGTAAAAGAAGAGGAGCCAGGTTCTAACAATCACTCTGCTGCTGTTTCTCACTTTTCTCACCTGTAAAAGAAGAAGGCCAGATTACATGATCTCTACTGCCACTTACAACATTCAATACTGTACAATAAATATATGATTTATCTTCAGAGATTGCCATTCCTCACCTCGAGGAGTTTACTGTCTTATTTGCATTTCTCTGAGAGTTCAAACTTTGAACTCTGAAAATAAACGGTAAATGTCCACCCATGACAGGCAAATGTTGTGGCTTAACAGGTAGAATTTTATCCACATTTTTTTATGATGAGCAAGCACAAGGCCACGTGGCTGGAAAATTAACCTGAAGTTGACATGAGAAAAATAATGTGGGGCTACTTATTTCAATCACAGTCATGCATCACTTATTGACAGGGACACTTTCTGAGAAATGTGTCATTAGGTCATTTTGTCATGCAAACACCATAGAGTGTACTCACAAAAACCTAGATGGTATAGGCTATGACACACCTAAGCTATATTGTATAGCTACTGTTCCTAGGCTACAAACCTGTGCAGCATGTTACTGTACTGAATACTGTAGGCAGCCGTAACACAATGGTAAGTACTTTTCCATCTAAACATATCTAAACATAGACAAGGTACAGTAAAAATACACTATAAAAGATGAAAAATGGTACACCTCTATAGGAGGCTTATCATGCATGGAGCTTGCAGGACTGGAAGTTGCTCTGGGTGAGTCAGTGAGTGAGTGGTGAGTGCACGTGAGGGTTGAGGACATAATTTCATGCTACTGTATTTATAAACGCTGTACACTTAGGCTATACTAAATTCATTTAAATTTTTTTCTCAACAATAAATTATCTTTAGCGTACCATAACTTTTTTTACTTTATATATAATAATTTTTAAATTTTTTTAATTTTTTGACTTTTTTATAAAAACACAGCTTAAAACACAAATACATTGTGCAGCTGTACAAAAATATTTTTTCTTTATATCCTTATTATCCTATAAGCTCCTATTTTTAATTTTTATTTTTTTACTTTTCAAACTTTTTGTTAAAAACTAAGACACAAACACACACACTAGCCTGGGCCTACCCAGGGTCAGGATCATCACTATCCCTGCCTTCCACCTCCACACCTTGTCCCGTTGGAAGGCCTTCAAGGCAAAAACACGCATGGAGCCATCATCTCCTATGACAACAATGCCTTCTTCTGATACCTCCTGAAGGACCTGCCTGAGGCGGGTTTACAGTTAACTTTTTTTTACTAAGTAGAAGTACACAAAATAACATTAAAATGTATAGTAAATACTAGGCATTAGGAAATTGACAGCCCAGTATAATCTTATGGGACCACTCTCACATATGTGACATTGACAAAACGTCATTATGCGAGGCATGACTGCACTTATTTTGAGACTATGTCTCTGCATACATAGTTCTCAGTAGCATCATTTGTTAAATAAGGATGCCGACATCTTACCTGCCAGAACACAAGGAGTTTAGCCAACTGGTGTTTTGAAGCTTCATCTGACAATAAGTTCTGTGATTCTGTTTATAAGTCTGTGACGAGTGACCCGAGTGACTGGAGGGAGCCCCATAATGTCTAGCATCCATTTCTGAGTCATGACAAAAAGCCAAAGGGGAAATGGGGCAGGGAAAGGAAGCAGATACAGGACCAGTAGTCATATAAGGGGCTGTGCACACCATGTGAGCCCCTGCCTACCTTCTACAGCTAAATGTCAGTATTTCATTCATTGCCCAGCCACAGTTCTCCCTTCCTGCTTCTACTTGGTGTGAACATTTGAAAGCTCATTGCAAAGTCTTCGCTCAAGAGAAACAGCTGGTGAACTCTGGTTTTGAAAGAAAAAATGGATTCTGAACGGCTAAAGCATCTGGAATTTTAAAAATTACATGATTGTTGCACAGAAGTCATTCGCTAAGGAATTTTTACCACAAAGTCATTAAAGTTAGGAACTAACAACGGAAGACTCCTCGAGGCTAAAAGTCTTATATTACTAAACGGTGCTGACTGAAAAATGGCTCTTCACCGGTGGTTCCAGCTGTGCCAGGAGGGGACCCTCCTCAACCCAGGGTGGCTGCCAAGGGAATCTCTGGAAACAGTGGGCTCTGCTTGGATTCATGAGAACACAGCATATAAACTCAATTACCATCATTATTATCAAAAGAATGATTCTGGCCAGGTGCAATGGTTCACATCTGTAATCCTGGTACTTTGGGAGGTCGAGGCAGAAGTTGCTTGAGGCTCAAGGTCAATCTGGCCAAAATAAGGAGACCCCATCTTTTTTAATTAAAAAAAGAAAAAAAAAGAATGATTCTAATTCTGGTCTAATGACCCTAACCTAAAATATTACCTTTTTTTGTACTCAGAAACTTTGTGTGCTGGTCTTTAAATCTTGTTTAAAGGGCCCGGCGCAGTGGCTCATGCCTGTAATCCCAGCACTTTGGGAGGCTGAGGCGGGCAGATTACAAGGTCAGGAGATCGAGACCATGCTGATCAACATGGTGAAACCCTGTCTGTATTAAAAATACAAAAATTAGCTGGATGTGGTGGTGGGCGCCTGTAATCCCACTACTCGAGAGGCTGAGGCAGGAGAATCGCTTGAACCCAGGAGGCAGAGGTTGCAGTGAGCCGAGATCGTGCCACTGCACTCCAGCCTGGCGACAGAACGAGACTCCGTCTCAAAAAATATATATATTGTTTAAAGGTCACCATTGTACCCTCTCTTTGCTCTGAAGGTCCTGCATCAAACTTTAACCAAAACCACAATAAAATTCAAATATCAACAATTTAGTCTCTAATCCTTCTCCAATCAAAATTTTTAGATTTTAAAAAAAGAAAAAGTTTTAATGAGCATAATAAATTGGCTTTGTTCTACATTAATGTCATAATGTTTGAGCAATTAGCAAGTACTATTTTTGTCATTTAACAAAAAACAATAATAGTTTGCCTCTCACTTTTGGATGGATGCATGCAGCATAGAAATGGGTTACAAGGACAGAGACACCAAGCTATTTGTCTACCTTGGTGAGATTACAGTATTTTTTAGTGTTCACTTACTTGTTTGTAGCTTTCTGTGCTTCCTGTAATGAGCATGCATTGCTTTTGGAAAAACAAAAACCAATAAGATAAACTTAATTTAGGAAACAAATAAACTAGGAATTGTTTCTGCAGCACAGAAACAGAGCATTCACGCTCCTCTCGGAAGTTTCTGCTTTCTTCTGGAGGCATCTTGGGTGAGCAATGAACTTCCTGCAGAAAAGTCCCGGGGCCCAGCCCTGCAAAGTAACCATGACACCCAACGCCTCGATTTCCGGTTACACCTCATGTGCTATCCTAAGGGTTCTGGCAAATGAGTGTTGAAACAAAACAAAACAATCCAGATACCACTTAGAGATTTGTGATGAGATCTTGCAACCTGTTCTTTCAATGTTTTAATAACTTTTCTGCAAATTGTCATCATTTGTTTTACAAGAAGATAGTTTAAAGTATATTTTATAAAATAAGTCTGAGGGAAATTAAAATTATGCCAAAGCCTCTTTTGCCAGGATTAACAGTTCACTCTTACATTTTGGGTCTATAGATATGCAGGATGGAGGTTGGGCCTGGTGGCTCATGCCTGTAATCCTAGCGCTTTGGGAGGCCAAAGTGGGAGGAATGATTGAAGCCAGGAGGTCGAGACCAGCCTGAGCAACATAGCAAGACTCCAACTCTAAAAAAAAAAATTAGCTGGGCATGGTGGCATGCGCCTGTAATCCCAACTACTCAAAAAGCTGGAACAGGAGGATCTCTTGAGCCCAGGAGTTCAAGGCTACAGTGAGCCATGATTGTGCCACTGCACTCCATCCTGGGTGACAGAGCAAGACTCTGTCTCCTAAAGAAAAAAAAATTACCTAAATTCTAATATAGGTCTGTTCTGAATCACAGCTCCACTCTATAAGTTCAGTTTGGCAAGCGGCCAAGAACACAGTTGTGAGTGGCACCCACACCAGGGTTCTAATCCTGGCTTTACACTTAAGAGCTCTGTGAGCTTGGGAACCAAGCAGGGTGACCCTGAACCTCAGCTTTGTCATAGGGAAATGAGGACTGTAATCCCAGTCCCATAAAGATGCAGGGAGGATTTCATCAAAGGAATTCATAATAAAATGTCTGGCACATTGTAAGTTCTAAAAACCTGCAGATGTTACCATTCCCTCCTAGTACTATCATGTCTTATATGTGCATAGTGACTCATACTCCACAAGGTGCTTTCAGATCTTTTGCCTCATTTAATCCTCAGGCAATGCGATCAGTACAAAAGGCAGTAATTACTACCCCCATTTTTCTTTTATCTTTTTTGTAAACAGATGAGAAAACAGGCTCAAAGTCAAAGAGCCCGAAAAGCGGGTATCTTGTCCACGGTTCTTTTTGCTCTGTGGCACAGAACTGAACCTCAGAGGACTTCATGTACCATGCCGAGCACAGGAGAACTACATGTGTTTTTAAATGCCCTACTATTCCTGCATTAATCAAATCAAACTGGTATTCTCACATTACTCCCAATTATTTAGATTTTGCCTAGGAAAAATAGCAACTAAGGTTTTTTGAGAGTGCACTGGGTATTTCAGGCATTGGGCGAGGTGCTTCACTTCCACCATCACAGTTAAACCGCATAACAACCCTATGAAGCAGGTACTGTCATAGTCTCCTGCATGTCCAGGATTGACATGCAGGCAGACTGTCTCCAAACCCCAGTTCCTATGGTCCTAGTGCTGTCCAATTCAAATTTGTCCAGTTGATGATAACACTTTGCAAATTGATTTCCCATACAACAAACCTAACGACACATGGAGGCCAGGCTATGAGTGTTCTCCTTTACATTTCAGGAGACTGAGGCTCTGAGAGGTTAAGCGACTGACCCAGCCCTGTCCTCACCCAGCAAGAACACAAGGCAGCACTCCCTAACTCCAAATCTCACTGTCTTTGGAAAACCTCACATTTTAAGAGTGAGAAGGTAGAAGTCCTGTCATTGTTGAAAAACAACCATCCACAATCATCACTAAGAGTTGACAGCGAGACCCGCGCTCCAGGCGGTGGAAACCGAGCAGTCTCCGGCTTGGGCCATCCCCGTTACTGTAGCCAAGTAGGAAGTGGGCGGTGACACTGATTTCAGAGCAGCCCCTAGGGAAGGCACAGGCACCAGTTCCTGGTCCCGCTCCCAGCCTCCTCCCTCCAGGTCCCCGAAGGGGTGGAACCCGAGATCCAGCTGGGTCTTGGGGTTAAGGCGGGCGGGACGTCCCCTGTCCCGAGGGGGCGCAGGCTGGGGCGCACCGCAACGAGAGTGCAGGCGGCGCAGGTGTCCCAGGACGGGGACGGATCCAAACCCCAAGCACGCCTCTGCAACCTTTCCCGGTCACCTGGACACGCAGCGGGGGCGCGGGTCAGACTCCTACAGTTTCGCAAACTGCGGGTCCCGGGGATCGCTGCACAGTCCTGGGTCAGGGACCTGGCCCGGCTCGGCGCTGGTGCCGGGCTGGCAGCCCAAGACTCGCTCTTCTCTCAACCTCGCACGCCTCGCGTCCTGCCTCAGTTTCCCTCACCTCGAAAGGGGTTGTTAACAGAGGCACGCCCTGACCTACGCGACTTCCTGGGGGCCAGAGCGCGCCCTCCTTGCCAGGACCCCCCCAGGACGTGCTAGGACTCTGTGGCAGCTCCCCTACCTGCGCGGTGGCTCACGCCGCCGCCGCCGGCGGCGGCTGGGGCGCCCTGAGGACCCCCGCCTGGCATGCGCCCCGCTGCCAGCTCCTCCCGCTCCGCCTGGGCTGCCTCCTGCTCCTTCCCCGAGGCCAGAGGCGGGGGGAAGGGAGCAGCGCGCTGGACGGGAAGTGGGGAGGGGGCTGGCGACGAAGGGGGCGGCTCCTTTCTTCTCCTCAGCGAGTCCGCTGTTTCCTTTCCAGCATTGGCCCCTGACGCGCGCGCGCGCGCGCACACACACACACACAGACATACACACACACGCTGCTGGAGCGGGCGGGGCCAGCGGCCCTCACAGCCTGTCTCCGGGATCTCAGGACCTCAGAAAGTTTGCTTTCACTCTGACTCATTTCTGGAAGAAACAAGAGGGGAAGTGCAGGAAGCCTCCAGGATGGGGTACAGGAGGGCGCCTTCCAGACGCATGATTTAAGAAGTGACCACACAGTGATGGAGAAGATGGAGGGATGTGAGGGGCTCATTTATACAAAGTGGGGGCGGGGGGGAGGAGTGGGGATAACTGATGACCCTGGAAAGAGATGAGTGGGAGCAGATGTTTAGAAATGAGATAGGATTCCAACTTCTAGCATCTTCCAGCAGCTCCGGGCTGGTTCCAGGACACAGAAGTCCATGCAAGCTCCTAGGCAACTGACTCCCCCCTTCACCCCTTCTCTTTGGTTCATTCAAGGAAGCTACTGGAGCACCCCCTAGGTAGCACCTGCTATAGGACAATGGGTACAAGGAAGGGCTACACATGAGCTCTTTGCCCTTAAGCAGCTCACCTCCAGGCTAGAAGGAGAGCACGTGCATAGAAAACGAAATCACAACATGAGATAGAATGTGCCATGTGCCAGAGGCTTGGCACAAAACCTCTTGCAATGGTTCAGGGATAGGAGGGAGAACTGTGAAGAAGAAGGGTTGGGGAGACGTTCTGCAGGAATGGGAAGGATCTCCTTAGAACGAGAGGAGTTAGAACTAGAGGAAGGCTGAGGTCCTTCAAAAGCTGAAGATCTTAAGACTGAAAGCACACAGTTGTACTTAAAATCAGTGTGTTTGCCCGGCATGGTAGTGCACTCCTGTAGTCCCAGCTACTCGGCAGGCTTAGGTGGGAGGATTGCTTGAGTCCAGGAGTTCAAGGCTTCAGTGAGCTATGATGGGGCCACTGCACTCCAGCCCAGGTGACAGAGAGAGACCCCCCACACCCCCACCACATCTCTAAAAATAAATAAATGTATGAATATCTAAGGCCAGGCACTTTGGGAGGCCAAGGTGGAAGTTCACTTGAGTCCAGAAGTTTGAGATCAGCCTGGGCAACATAATAAGAACCTCTTTTTTTTTTTTAACTTTTAAGTTCAGTTTGTTACATAGGTAAACTTGTGTCATGGGTGTTTGTTGTACAGAGTATTTTGTCACCCAGGTATTAAGCCTAGTGCTCATTAGTTGTTTTTCTTGATCCTCGCCCTTCTCCTACCCTCCGCCCTCCAAAAGGCACCAGTGTGTGCTGTTCCCCTCTATGCGTCCATGTGTTCTCATCATTTATCTCCCACTTATAAGTGAGAACATGCAGTGTTTGGTTTTCTGTTCTTGTGTTAGTTTGCTAAGAATAATGGCCTCCAGCTCCATCCATGTCCCTGCAAAAGACATGATCTCATTCTTTTTTATGGCTGCATAGTATTCTATGGTATATATGTACCATATTTTTTTATCCAGCCTATCATTGATGGGCATTTAGATTGATTCCATATATTTGCCGTTGTGAATAGTGCTGCAGTGAACATGTGTGTGCATGTGTCTTTATAATAGAATTATTTATATTCCTTTGGGTGTATACCCAGTCATACGATTGTTGGGTCAAACAATATTTCTGTCTTTGGGTCTTTGAGGAATCACCACACTGTCTTCCACAATAGCTGAACTAATTTACACTCCCACCAACAGTGTAAAAGTGTTCCTTTTTCTCCACAACTTCTCCAGCATCTGTTATTTTTTGACTTTTTAGTAATACCCATTCTGACCGGTGTTAGGTGGTATTTCATTGTGGTTTTGATTTGCATTTATCTGATAATCAGTGATGTTGAGCTTTTTTTATATGAATGTTGTCCACATATATGTCTTCTTTTGAAAAGTGTCTGTTCATGTCCCTTGCTCACTTTTTAATGGGGTTGTTTGGTTTTTTCTTGTAAATATAAGTTCCTTATAAGATGCTGGATATTAGATCTTTGTTAGATCACAGTTTGCAAAATTGTTTTCCCATTCTGTAGGTTGTCTGTTTACTCTGTTGATAGTTTCTTTTGCTGTTCAGAAGCTCTTTAGTTTAATTAGATCCCAGTTGTCAATTTTTGCTTTTGGCATCTTTGTCGTGAAATCTTTGCCCATGCCTATGTCCTGAATGGTATTGCCTAGGTTGTCTTGCAGGGATTTTATAGTTTTGGGTTTTACAATTAAGTCTTTAATACATCTTTAGTTAACTTTGTATAAACTGTAAGGTAGAGGTCCAGTTTCAATCTTCTGCATATGACTAGCCAGTTATCCCATCACCATTTAGGAAATTCTTTACCCATTGCTTGTCAAAACCCTTTCTATAAAGAAAAAAAAAATTAATTAGCCAGCACAGTGGCCTGTACCTGTAGTCCCAGCTACTTGGGAGGCTGAAGCAGGAGGATCACTCTAGCTCAGGAGGTCGAGGCTGCACTGAGCAGTGATTGCACCACTTCCCTCCAGCCTAATAGAGTGAGACCAGGCTAATAGAGTGAGACCCTGCCTAAAGAGAGAGAGAAACAGAGAGAGAGAAGCTTCAAATCCTGCCTGAATTTTTAGCCTAGCAGCCTGCCCTTCAAATTTCAAACTTGCTAGACCTTAAAATCAAGTGAGCCAATTCCTTAAAATAAATCTTTCTCTTCTTTCTCTCTTTTGCCTCTTTCTCTATCTTTTTCTTCTCTCTATCTCTTTCTCCTCTCTTTATCTCTCTCCGTTTCTCTCTTTCTCCTCTCTCTCTCTTTCTCTTCTGTCTTCTCTATCTATCTGTCTATCTATCTATCTGTCTTCCTGTCCTCCTCCCACTTGCTCACTCCTTTCTTTGGGTCCCCTTCATTAGTTTCTCCCCTTCTCCCCACCCCTTATCTTGGATCTCCCCAGAATTTAATCCATGGCTTGCTTCTCTTCTTGAGCATCCCTCATACTTGACCTTACTCATCCCTCTCATCCACTTCCAGGGTTTCAACCACCCGATGCAACCTCAATCAGAATCCCTGACTGCAACCTCTCTCCCAAACTCCAGATTCATATTTCCAACTTACAGATTCTGCTGGGTTCTCAAAGTTAATATCACCAAAATTATTCTCATAGTCCTCTCTAGCACATTCCCAAAACTGCTGCCCTTCCTGTATTAAATTTTCTTCAAGATAGCTTTACTCTCTTCTTCTCCTCCCAGCCAATCCTACATCCCCGCTCACCTTCGCCCTTTCATTCAGCCATTGGATCCTGTCCTTTCCACCTCAGAATTGTCTTTTGTATCCATTTCCTCCTGTCCATCCCTCACTAGCCCTAAATTAGACTGAGCTTCATTGTATTTCCAACTGCCCCCTCAACAGCACCACTTGGTTGTCTAAGAATCCATTCAAACCAACCAAATTGAAAACCATTCCCATTCTTTTCCCCTCAATTCTGTACTTCTAATTGTGTTCCATACCTCCACTACTGGTCCTACCAACCATCTCATTAGCCCTGTGGCATAGTCTGGAAGGCATCATACTATGTGGTTAGGAGGATACGCTCTGCACTCAGATAACGGCACTATATCCAAGCTCCACTACTTCTTAGCTGTGGACTTTGAGAAGTTATTTAACCCTCTGCTAAGTCTCAGTCTGCTCATCTGCAAAACAAAGGTAATGGTGGTACCATAGAAGGTTGCTGTGAGAGGGTCCGATATATGGTCTAGAGTGGGGCCCAGGCAATGGATTTTTTTAAGCCCTCCAGGTGATTCTAAAGCACAGTGAGGGTTGGGACCCCCTTCTGTAGTGGTAGTATGGACAGATTTGTGGTAGATGCAGAAAGACTGATTAGGAAACAGGTAGGAGTTCCAGGTAAGACACCATAAGCATTTGTAACAAGGATAGAGAAGATATGGCTGGCTGAGCGCGGTGGCTCACACCTGTAATCCCAGCACTTTGGGAAGCCAACACAAGTGGAACGCTTGAGTCTAGGAGTTCAAGACCAGTATGGGTGACATGGTGAAACCCTATCTCTACAAAAAAAAAATTAGCTGGGTATGGTAGCATGCACCTGTAGTTCCAGCTACTTGGGGGGCTGAGGCAGGAGGATCACTTGAGTCTGGGAGGTTGAGGCTGCAGTAAGCCATGTTCACGCCAATGCACTCCAGCCTAGATGACAAAGTAAGACCTTGTGTCAAAATGAGAGGAGAGAGAGTGAGAGAAAAAGGGAGAAAATGGGGCCATATTCAAGAGACACTTAGGAAGTAAAATTATATGAAACTTGGTAACTAGATGTTGAGGGTAATTGAGAGGAAAGCATCTAAGATGACTCCAGCTTTTAATTTAGTTGACTAGGCTAGGTGGATATGGTTCCCAAATATGTTTGTTCATTATAAGCACTTGGGGAAAATTTATATATTTTTTCCTAGCTGTTATGTATTATATATTCCTAGTCTTATCAAAGACCTGTGTGCAAGATTATTCTATTTTCACCTTGATTATTCTGGGAACTATGTTTTGCAGAATCACCTTCCCTGAATGGATCCCAGCTACACTTGGCCAAAAGAATAATATTTGGGAGGTGGCAGTGAGCAGTAGTCATTTTGTTCTAAGGTTACTGTTGGTTGGAGACAGTCAGAGACAGATGCAAAGGTGCTGGTGGTTTCCAGTTTGCCCTGTCTCTCCCTATTCCATGCCCAGGTCTCCTCCTCAACTACTAGCTCTATGGACCAATAGCAGCCCCAGGCTCCCTATGAGATGCTTGTCTGCACATTCACAGAGGAAGTAGACACAGAACCATCAACCTTCTGTAGATGTCTATACCAGCCCCTTTACAGTCCTCCTCCAACAGCTGTACATACATAGCTCCCAGATTTTCTGTAAGCCCCAACTCATTCACCCACACAGGGCTGGTTAAACACCTTTCTCAGATCCTTCATCTCCCTTTTTAGACTTCTGCTTCTCCAGCTTTTCTCACAATTGTGTGAGGTCTAATTCCTGTAATACATTCCTTATTCCACAATACTTATAGTGGTTCTCCTTCTCCAATTGATCCCTCACTGGTAAACCTCCCAACTCCAAATCTCTGGTGTGGGTACTATAGCAGTCTTCCTTTAGTTTTTTGACAGCTTTCTCATTCCAACACAATGCTGTATTAATTAGCACTCTTAATTGCAACTAACCAAAACCAATATACTCTAACTGAAGTAAAACAAATTTTGGTGAGGAAACAAGAGTCATTTCATGGAGTCTGAAGGCATAAGGAAGCTGGTCTTCTGGAAACACTAGAGCCAGCTCTGGAAAGCCAGAAGGACCCTGGAAGTCTTGCTCATCCCTACTTTTTTCTGCACATCTGCTTCCAGTTGCTTCCAAGTTTACCTGTTTGTAATCCAGCCACATGAAGAGCTCGACCCTCTTGGAGCCGATTCTGGATCTTTAGGAGCAAGATCCTAGTGAGCTCAGTAGGTCGGGGGTCCCTCTCTCAGGTCATCAAGTGTAACTGAAGAAGTGGACCCCATAGGAACACAAGACAAGCATAGCCCCCAGGAAACCAACCCTGAATGAGGGGCAAGTGGAGACCATCACTTTGGACAGCCATCCCCAAATGTGCCTACTTTAAATGTCATGGTGAAGATTAGACACCATGAATCCTGCTGCCTGCAAATAAACAAATGACATCTATAGTTTCCCTCTGCTTCTAAGTTCTGGCTGCTAAGACATGTAAAGGTTGTCCACAGAGAGGATAACAAAGAGCAAATGATGAAGGGATGATTGTTCTATCAATCTTTTAAATTTAAATTACTGGACAACTCTTTCTTGTGAATACTACCAAAGTCTTCATGAGATTGGAAATGGAGTAATGCCATGCTGACACAATCTGAGGTCATAGCCTAGAATCTTTGCATCACTAGCAGGATCAGCAGTTGCTCTGTTGCATTGAAATTATGCATATCTACAGATTACATTTACACAGTCAATGAACATGAAATACTAGAGGTATGAAATTGTAGCCAGAATCTAGGAGCTCAGAGGAAGTAAAATGTACAACTCTTTTGCCAGGTAACAAATACTATATGATTCCACTTATATGAAGTAACTAAGTAGTAAGATTCCTAGAAACAGAAAGTAAACTGATGGCTGCTGGGGACTGGGAAAGGGGAAAATGAAGAGGTGTAGTTTAAAGGATACAGAGTATCCTTTTTAAAAAGTTTTGTAAAATAAAAGGTTCTAAAGGGCGGGGCATGGTGGCTCATGCCTGAAATCCCAGCACTTTGGAAGGCCGAGGCGGGCAGATCACAAGGTCAAGAGATCAAGACTATCCTGGCCAACATGGTGAGACCCCGTCTCTACTAAAAGTACAAAAATTAGCTGGGCATGGTGGCACGCGCCTGTAGTCCCAGCTACTCGGGAGGCTGAAGCAGGGGAATTGCTTGAACCTGGGAGGCGGAGGTTGCAGTGAGCCGAGATCCCACCACTGCACTCCAGCCTGGTGACAGAGACAGACTCTGTCTCAAAAAAAAGCTCTAAATATCCATTGCACAACAGTGTGAATAAATTAATACGACTGACCTCTACACATAAGCGTGGTAAATATGATGGGTTTTTTTTTACCACATTTAAATGGAAATAAAATATTATCACTACCAAAAATTGTGTTTAAGAATATGGAAATCTCTTAGAAGTTTACTAATAATAACTCATGGACACTTACAACATGACAGACACTATTCTATACAATTTAAACTTGTTAAAGGTATTTCACCTTTACAATAACCTGGTTTCATATCCATTTCTAGACGAGGTAACTGAGGCACAGAAGGTTAGAACTTACTCAAAATCTCAAACACAGTAAGTGGCCGAGCAGGGATTTGGGCCCAGGAAATCTGGCTATAGAGCCCATATTCCTACCCACAATCATATACTGTTCTCTCACTAGAGAAAATGGCATTTTCTGATGCCTGAGTACAAACTGTCACTCTCCATTCATATAATGAGACTTATACTTAGCAAATAAGTATGCTGTGTTTTCATGCATAATATTCTCTCCCCCTTCCCTTAATTTTATTCCCAGAGGAAGATGAGACAGGAGAAGGGCTATGACAATCATGCTTTATATACAATCAATGTTCCTTTTCATCTCCCCTTCTAAATTGTAAGCTGTTTGAGGGCAAATGCCATGCCTTATTCATTTTTGCATCCTGTCTGCCCAGAGACTTGTTGGAATGAATGATCTAAATTAAGATTCTGACTCTTGACAGGCTGGTTGATTTATCTGTCAAGTGTCCTGCAAATTCTCTGAGTATGGCAATGATAGATACTGAAGAAAATTCCCATCAAGTTACATAACTAGAGTTAAATAGGAAATATTCTCATTGAGAACAATAACAATGCTCAAACAATTCTGGGAAATTTAATTGTTTAAAGGAGATCTTTTCTTTAAAGAAATGTGAATGAATTGGAGAAAAGAAATCAGTCTTAAACTCAGGAAATAACATTAGACAACATGAAGACTCTCATTTGTTAATGCCTGGAAATAGGAAGTTGGTTCAGTTTCAAATACCATCAGATAGTGGCCATGCCAAAGGATGTTATCCTAGTGTTAGGCTAAATATATAATGTAAATAACCTTCCTTTTGCAGTGCATATTGTCTTAAAGCCACAATAGTGAGATAATTCATGGGAAACTGGCAGAGAGGCTGCAGGCTCCCGCTCTAGACCTGTGATCCCGAGATGCCTGCAACTTGTGGTCATCTTTACCTCCCAGTGATTAGCCTCCGCTAGAGATGTGATACTCAAAATGCGTTTACATGGTCAAACAGCCAAAGCCATTAAGGAAGGGTACATTAATTTTACTCTGCCTAAAGACCTACCACTCAATGGTTTAAACCTGTTTCTGCCAGTTTACCACATGTAATATAGGAACAGCTAATCCCCCTGACTCAGAATCTCTCCAGTCAGAGATTTATTCACAATTCAATAGTTCACTGTGGGAGGACTGCTCCTCCCCTGGCTGCTCGGTTTTGAATAAGTAGACTTTGTTCTCTATCCGTGTCTACATTTACTCCAACTTCCACCGAGGAAGAGACACTCGCCCCCCTCTCACTGTTTATCACCTCGGCCATATCACCTATCATTCCTAGGTGATAGGCACCAGCCCTCTCTTTCCATCTTTCACATTGATTGTCACATGTGACCCTTGACACGTAACACTTTGTTACTCTCACAGCTCTCATATACAGGGGGACAACATGAGTGGCCATAATAATAGGTGGCAACCTTATTATCATTAGAAAGCTCAGCAATTTCAAGCCTCTTTTTCTGATTTTTAATCTTCTGGCCAACCTCTCTTCATTGGTTTTCTGACCCAATCCTCTCACAGCTGATTTTTATGTTGTCTGATCAGTATAAATTCCTGGCTTGTGTCTTCTTAATGAGAGAGAGGGGACCTCCCTGTCCCCCAAAACTGATGCACATTGCAACCATCAGAAGCTTTTAAATGCCCCAATTCAACAGCCATATTAGAAGATCTCAGGAGGCTCTGCAGGCAGTTTCAAAGACAGCGTCTGTAAGTGGACCACTGTCCAAAGTCAGGAGTTCATCTCATTAATGAAGTGCTTGACGTTAAGCCACTCACCTTTTTCCCATCTCGTCCATGTTCCTCATGTGTTACACAGTGAGTAAAGTAATCGTGTGCTTTAATCTTCTCTTGCAGATGCTGTTAATGGTGAGGTCTCTGTAAGGCTATTCCAGGGGAAGAAAGGTTCATGCCATTCAGCTAATTTGAAATTTGAATTCAAGAATTGATTAGGGGTTCTTTCTCCAATTAAATGTGTGTGTTTGGGGATACATCACTTAATTTTCTAGCTTCCTTCTTTGAAAACAAAGGGGAAACCAGATGAGTGGCTTTTAAACTTTTGTTTCATGGCTGGTTGCTAAAAATTTAAGAAAAAACAAGAAGGTGAGATATATAATGACACTAACATTTTATTTTGCCAAGTAAATTTACTTTTTTTTTTTTTTAAGATAGAGTTTTGCTCTTTTTTGCCCAGGCTGGAGTGCAATGGCTCAATCTCGGCTCACTGCAACCTCTACCTCCTGAGTTCAAGCAATTTTCCTGCTTCAGCCTCCCGAGTAGCTGGGACTACAGGCACACGCCACCATCCCCAGCTAATTTTGTATTTTTAGTAGAGACAGGGTTTCACCATGTTGGCCAGGCTGGTCTTGAACTCCTGACCTCGGGTGATCTGCCTGCCTGAGCCTCCCAAAGCGCTGGGATTACAGGCGTGAGCCACCGCACCCAGCCATACATTTCTTTAAAAAAAAAAAACTTCTACCAACTACCATCGCCACTATTTCATATAGAAAAGCCTTCTTTTAACCTCAAAAAAATAATACATATGTGATAGAAGCTAGGACAGTTCCTTAAAAACAGTGAATTTTGCTTTCTCAAAAGCTCATTTATCCTGGTTTTTCCTTTCTTTTTTATTTTGTCCTGGCTGGTGAAACTTCCATAGTAGGTAGAACCAGTCCCCAGCTGTGGTCTTAGGGACCAAGTAATGAGACAGCCCCTGAGCTGAGGAAGCCAGAGAACTTCTCTTTTCGGTGTGATGCAGAGTTTGCAAAAATAAGCTCATGAATATTATTAAGCTTTATGTTATGAGAATGTTTACCCGTTTTCAAGTATAAACCTGTTTGTAAGATTTTGAATTTCAGATTTGGCCTTTCAGAGGACAAAACTGGAACATAGGCATAAGAACTAAACTACCAGTAGCCACAGAGGCACTCACCAAATATTTCTGAGTTGCTGGCATCCAGACACATAGTGGGAATGCCTTCCCAACCTCTCTGAAGCTGAGGATGGCCATGTGACTGGCTTTGGTCAGGGAAATGTGAGCAGAGGAGATATGCTTCCCATCTGGGCGGAAGCTTTAGAAGCCAGTGCTTGATTCATCACTCTTTTTCTGCCTCTATAGTATAAAAGTCTTCAGATGGAGCTTCTGTCAGCCTTGATCCCAAGAGCCTCTGTGAGTAGGATCTTGCCTGTAAACTTCTATAAAACATAAAACATGAACAAGAGAAAAGGAAGCATACATTGAATTAAGCTACTGAGACGTAGGTATCTTTGTTGCCACCGGATAACCTATCTCATCTTGATTAGTCTACCAAAGTTCTCTCAGTTCTGAAAGCCTGTACATGAATGGCCACACGATGTCTCAGATCGTAAGTTGTGGAACTGGAGCTGCTTTCACCAACAATACTGTCGTCAACAGCACTCACGTTCTTCAATCATGCTGCCTCCCCCAAATCCTAACTAAAGTGGTTCTAATATTGAGCAAGGCATTATTCCAGAAATGAAATCCAAGGCTTGGCAATAGTCAGAGCACATGAGGGCAGGATCATGACAACATGGGGAAGAGAAGATTTCACATGGTAGAGCACTCCTTGGGGGATTTCCTTGCTCTAGGTTGGAATCAGAAGGTTAAAAGACTTCCAATCTGGTTTCAAAATGTTTTATGGGACTTAAAGAAATCTTAAAGGGGAAGAGGAGACTTTTCTTTCATTCATCAGGCATCTGGGACTATGGATACAATGGCTGGAGCTCTAGACGCCATCTTGAACCTTGAAGACAAAGCCACAGCTTAGTAATGGCAAAGCAGATAACTGGAATTAGTCTGGTTCCATGACAACTTTGTGGGGTTGCCATATCCCTGCTGGATTGCCTTCCTTTAGATTTCCTTTATGGGACAGAGAAAAATTGTTACCTTGTTTATGCCACCATTAGTTGTTTTTTCTTATATGAAGCCAAGCCTAAATCTAACATTATATACCATTTTTTTTTCATTATTTGAAAGATACTGTTTATCTCATTCTTTTAAAAATTTTTGGCTTTTTGGATTTTTACAATTTAAAATAATGTATATAATTTATTTTAAAAGAAATATGAGGGCTGGGCATGGTGGCTCATGCCTGTAATCTCAGCACTTTGGGAGGCCGAGGTGGGTGGATCACCTGAGGTCCAGAGTTCGAGACCAGCCTGGCCAACATAGTGAAACCCCGTCTCTACTAAAAATACAAAAATTAGCTGGACGTGGTGGCAGACACCTGTAATCCCAGCTACTAGGAAGGCTGTGGCAGGAGAATTGCTTGAACCCGCGAGGCGGAGGTTGCAGTGAGCCAAGATCGTGCCACTGCACTCCAGCCTGGCAACAAGAGCAAAACTCTGTCAAAAAAAAAAAGACAGAAAAGAAAAGAAAAGAAAAGAAAAGAAAAGAAAGAAAGAAAGAAAGAAAGAAAGAAAGAAAGAGAAAGAAAGAAAGAAAAGAAGAAAGAAAGAAAGAAAGAAAGAAAGAAAGAAAGAAAGAAAGAAAGAAAAGAAAGAATGTACTAAAGAGGCATATTCTTTTTATTAATGTGTGAACAGAGCATGGAGCCCACTGGTGTGAGGAACTGACCTTGGGGAGCCACCTGGATTCCAGGCTGCCCTCCTTCAGTGTCTGAGGCTCAGCTCTGATGCATAGGGGTGGGGAGGGTGGCTAAGGAATTTTTACTTTAATCATCTTGGTCAGGTTTTGAAGGCTTTTGTTACCTGACCCTCTCTTCACAATGGGTTGCCATCTCCAAGTCTTTGGCCTGAAACCTCTGAGAATATGATTACCACTTCCCTTCACCTTTTGCCTATTGAGAAAAGCAACCACTACTTCTTTTGCTCTGACTCCAGTCAGCTTTTTGCGCTTTCTCAAAGAACAAGAAGTCATTACATCTCAACTAGCCTTCTAAACAGCCAGAGTTTGAACTGAAGTGTATGTATATGTGGTACATAAGGAAACTTAGGGGTCTGAAAGTACATCATGAAAATCTTGAGGCAATATTGAACAACTTCCTTTTTCAATCTCCAGGGATCTATTTAGCCTCTGGGTTTTTAACCTTTCAATATATCATTTGATTGGTAGTTACCCGTTCCTGAGGCCACTCAGGTGAGGAGGCTCCAGCAAGGGTGTAGAAGAGGATGAGAATACATCCCTGAGGCCATGCTACAGCATGTGAGAACAGAGACTGAAGACCAGTGATGACCACTGGAAACAGTTTACAATTCCACTGTGTTAGTCAGTTCTCATGCTGCTAATAAAGACATGTCCGAGACTGGGTAATTTATAAAGGAAAGAGGCTTAATTGACTCATAGTTCAGCATGGCTATGGAGGCCTCAGGAAACTTATGATCGTGATGAAAGGGGATGCAAACATGTTCTTCTTCACATGGTGGCAGGAAAGAGAAGTGCAGAGTGAAGGTGGGAAAGCCCCTTATAAAACCATCAGATCTCGTGAGAACTCGCTATCATGAGAACAGCATGGAGGTAACTGCCCCCATGATTCAATTACCTCCCACCAGGTCCCTCCCACCACACATGGGGATTAATGCAACTACAATTCAAGATGAGATTTGGGTGGGCACACAGCCAAATCATGTCATCCACCAAAGATATTCCTTGCTCCCAGGTCATCTTCCACCACCCATCTGCCGAGCTTTGCTTAGTGATTGACAGCCGACTTTATCACCAGCCTGGTTCCCATGGATTTGGAAAGGTCAATCTGCAGCTGCCTACCCCTCTATCAAAACAACTGAATGTGAATTCTAAAGCCAAATAGACATTCAAAAAAGTTATCTGTGCAAAATTCTTTCCATTCAGGCATATATGGCAAGAACTGACTCTAATGACATAATGCATTTGAACAGTTTCATATGTAGCAACCCTCAATCATTGCTAGTTTCTATCTTCCCTTCCCCTATTCTGCTATTATTCATTTCACCTCCCCAACTGAGAAATAAGATGATTTAGTCGAAGTTTGCATGAAGTATTATAAAGAGGTTTTATCATCTTGTCAGGAAGGCATTTTTCTCCATTCATTCTTCAAAGGAAGTCATTCTCCCTAACAATCAAAATCATCTATTTTCTTTACCTGTCTTCCAGGAAATGACATTGAATGAGCTAACACTATTGGGGAACGAATAGCACCGACAGCCCTTGAGCCTCTTGCAAAAGCACTTGCCCAATGAAATGTGCACTCACCCACAGCTCCAGCTGCCCCTCCTGCACAAGGTCAATGCCAGAAGCTCATCTGACTGGTTTGCCCCCAGGGCCCTTGAAACAGCAAAGCTGCACACCGTGATCAAACCATAGCCCTTCCCAGGAGACGCTGACTAAAGCACTTCACTCATTGAGAAGATTTTGTCCTAATCCAGAGGCTTTCCACCTTCCTGCTCATGAAGAGCTGATTTGGAACATCCCATGATTTGCTACAGATGATGGTTCTAGAAGCGCTGCCTGAGCACACCAAGACTATGTGTTGATATTCTCATAGACATTAAATCCATGGTTTCATCTCTTTGGTTACTGTTGCCATCAACCAACCTATGCATTTAATTAGCACCTCCTGGATACACAAGCAGTGCTAGGCATTGCGGGGGATGCAAAAATTAGCTGGTTGCTTGGCGGCAAAGAGAAGGGAAAAGGGATGAATAGACAGACCGCAGGAGATTATTAGGGCAGTGAAATCATTCAGCAGGATACTGTAACAGTGGATACACGACATTATGCATTTGGCAAAACCCATTGAATGTATAACACAACGAGTGAACCCTAATGTAAACTATGGACCTCAGTTTATAGTAATGTATCAATATTGGCTCATCAGTTGTAAAAAATGTGCAACCCAATGCAAGATGTTAATAATAGAGGAAGCTGTGGAGAAGGGGAGGGAGTATACAGGAACTCTGTACTTTCTGTTCAGTTTTTCTGCAAACCTAAAACTGCTGTTAAAAATAGTCAACCCAGGAGGCGGAAGTTGTGGTGAGCCGAGATCGCACCATTGCACTCCAACCCAGGCAACAAGAGCAAAACTCCATCTCAAAAAATAAAGTCTACTGGTCGGACACGGGCACGGTGGTTCACGCCTGTAATCCCCGCAGTTTGGGAGGCCAAGGCAGAAGGATCACTTGTGTCCAGGAGACCAGCCTAGGCAATATAAAGAGACTCTGTCTCTATAAAAAGAAAAAATAAAGTCTATCAATTCAAAAAAATAACAGGCTACTTGAATAGATGAGACTGGCTCACACGTAACAGAGGACATGCAATAAGGCAGTAGGTAAGCAGGTCTGCAGTGACATGGTTCAGGATCCCAGGTGCAATTATTTCTTCCACTTCCTGTGATTCCTCACATTTTAAATTTTAAGGCAGTGAACTTCACAGCAATAAGGACCAACTAAGAATAAGCCTATGAAATTGGCTTGCACACCATCAGCACTGTATCTATCTAAATAAAGTCATAAATAAATAAATGTGTTCTTTTTAATCCTAACCTTGGAGAAATTGAGAAGAGAAAATGAAACACACATGAGACAGGTGATAAGGAGAACACACCTGCCAGTTTGAGAAGAGCCCTCAGCAGCATCGGCCATTTGGCAGTGGTGGCAAATGGAGTGAGCAGAGACTAAATATCTGCATTCCACTGGTGGCCATGATAGTAATAGAAAATGCGTAAGGCGAAAGTGTTCTCACAGGACCATACAGGGAAGTGAATCATCCTGGATCACACATGTCTGAGATCCTGAGCTTCACACCTTGGGTCAGATGTGTGTTGTCAGCTGAGAAACTGAGCTGCATTCTTGAGCATGAGCCAGACGCCTTGACAGATGGTAAGTACCTGCTCCTCCGGGCACCCATCATCTAAGCAGCCTGGCAGAAGGATCCCAGCTCCCTGTGCCCAGCTGGTAATCTTCTTATGTCCTGGGGCTTAAGGAGTGATAGCCCTTTGCAATTGTTCTTTCCAGGCAAAGCTTAAAGCTGAGAAGTCTGCTTTACACTTAATTGTTTATAGTAAGAAAGATGGATACGGATAGACAGACAAGCCAGGGATTGGAAAGGAAAACTGACAATATCTGACATTGCTTATTATTAGAGTTTCAAAGCATTTTCTCATCCATTTGCTCTTTTGATTATTACAACCAACATTTGGGAAAGCAGGAAGGAATCATTCCAATTTTATAATAAACCAAAGAAACTGAGATGCAGAGAGTTGCCCACAGCATGGCTAGTAACAGGCAGTGCATCCAACAGGACTGGATTGCCCAGCAAACTTTCTGCACCCAAATAAAATACAGGTTCTGCCTGCAGGGGTCTTGGCTCTTTGGGGAGTACACAGAGACACATTTTTTAAAGTTACTTAGAACTTCGGAGGAGGCAGAAAACCACTATGGGCTCAGGTGGTCTTTGTGAAAGAGGAGAGAAGACAGGGAGAGTCTCTCAGGCAAGAGGAAAATTGAGAGTCAAGCCACATGGCTTGTCTAAGAGAACCCCCAACCTGCAGCTGACAGCTCATCTTGGCGAGAATCCAGAGAAGGCGACTTCAGAGATGAAGGTGAAGGCCAGGTTGTGAAAGGCCTTTAATGCCAGGCTAACTAAGGGGTTGAGCTTTTTTCTCATCACCAAGAAGGGGCCATTAAAGATTCTGAAGCAGCGGGGAATCTGTACCAACTAGGCTTTCGGGGAAAGATGACTCTGAGGGAAAAGAGAGGCAGCAGGATGAGGAGCCCAGGTACGGGTTGGGAGGACTGGAAGTGGGAAGCAGGAGAGAGGTGGTGGGAAAGTGGAAGGGAGTTGGAGTGGAAGGAATTGAGAGGAAAGGACCACAGTGCAAGGCAGTATGAAGAAATAATGGCACCCCTAAAGTTAAGTTTGAGATTTGGGATGGATGTGGTTGGAAGTCCCTAGCAAGTCATAAGAGATGATGGGCTGATGGTCAGGAGAAAGGTCAAGAGACATTTATCTGTGTAGATATGATCATTGAAGTATTAGAAGGGATAAGAAGGTTGAATGGGAATGGAACACTGAAACTTGGGTCCTACTAACTTTAAGAAGTTGGATCAGAAAGGCAAGCAAGAAAAAGATGTAAGAGATGGGAAGAGAAGCAGAACAGAGGGAAGGCAGCACTCCCAAGAAGTCTTCCCAATCAGGCCCCTGGCTCCAGTTGTGCCCGTTCCCTTCTTTACACCAACTTCCTCCCTGTGTCTAAGCTGGGTTCATGTCCCAGGTCCTGCCACACTCCAGAAGTGTAGTATCAAGTTAGAGACTTAGAGACATCTGCGGAAGTTTACTAGTCTTGTGACAATCCAGAGCAAAGTCATGAAAACCAGACAAAAATAGTTTCAAAAAGGAGATGTGGGACTGGGCACTGTGGATTTGAGAGGTTGAGGCAGGAGGATTGCTTGAGGCCAAGAGTTCAAGAACAATCTGGACAATGTAGGAGACCCCATCTCTGCAAAAAATAAAAATAAAAACTAGCCTGGCTCAGTGGCATGTACCTGTGGTCTCAGCTACTCAGGAGGCTGAGATGGGAGAATTGCTCAAACCCAGAAGGTTAAGGCTTCAGTCAGCTGTGATCACGCCACTGCACTCCAGCCTGGCCAACAGAGCCAGACCCTGTCTCAAAAAAAAAGTGGGTGAGGGGGGAGATATTGGGCAATAAAAACTGCAAAGACAGAACAAGTAGGAAGGCAAAAGAGAAGAATTGCTTCAAGGGAGCTGTTTCAGGTAGAATTCCAGGAGCAGGCTGAAAAGGTGAAGGTGCTAAGGAGGATATGGATGGCACAGAAGCAAATGTTCAGCATACTCCCTACTCTTTCAAGAAGTTTTGCAGAGAAGGGAGGGAAAGTGTGGGGAGGAATTGTCAATGGAAAGCAAGAGAAAAAGAAGATTCTTTTTTTTTCTGAGACAGAGTTTTGCTCTTATCGCCCAGGCTGGAGTACAGTGGCGTGATCTCTGCTCACTGCAACCTCCGCCTCCTGGGTTCAAGAGATTCTCCTGCCTCAGCCTCCTGAGTAGCTGGGATTACAGGCGCCCACCACCATGTCCAGCTAATTTTTTTTTTTTTTGGTAGAGACGGGGTTTCACCATGTTGGCCAGGTTGGTCTCAAGCTCCTGACCTCAGGTGATTCCCCTGCCTCGGCCTCCCAAAGTGCTGGGATTACAGGCGTGAGCCACTGCACCCAGCCAAGAGAAGGTTCTTTCAGATACTGTAACATGGTTATAATTAGGCAGAGAGTCTCAGCCCTTCAGCTGATAAACAACTTCAGCAAAGTTTCAGGATACAAAATCAATGTACAAAAATCATTGGCATTCCTATAAACCAACAACAGTCAAGCTGAGAGCCAAATCAGAAAGGCAATCCCATTCACAATTGCCACAAAAAAAGAATAAAATACCTAGGTATACAGCTAACCAGGGAGGTGAGAGATCTCCAACACTGCTCAAAGAAATCAGAGAAGACACAAACAAATGGAAAAACATCCCATGCTCATGGATAGGAAAAATCAATATTATTAAAATGGCCATACAATCCAAAGCAACGTACAGATTCAATGCTATTCTTATCAAACTACCAATGACATTGTTCACAGAACTAGAAAAAAGAAACTACTTTAAAATTAATATGGGGTCAGGCGCAGTGCCCAATGCCTGTAATCCCAGCACTTTAGGAGGCTGAGGTGGGTGGATCACCTGAGGTCAGGAGTTCGAGACCAGCCTGGACAATATGGTGAAACCCCGTCTCTACTAAAATTACAAAAATTAGCCAGGTATGGTGGCATGCACCTGTAATCCCAGCTACTTGAGAGGCTGAGGCAGGAGAATCGCTTGAAACCAGGAGGCAGAAGTTGCAGTGAGCCAAGATTGTGACACTGCATTCCAGCCTGGGCAACAGAGTGAGACTCCAAAACAATAATAATATGGAACCAAAAAAGAGCCTGAATAGCCAAGGCAATCCTAAGCAAAAAGAACAAAGCCAGAGAAATTATGGTTCCTGACTTTGAACTATACTACAGGGTTACAGTAACCAAAACAGCATGGTACTGGTACAAAAACAGGCACATAGATCAATAGAACAAAATAGAGAGCCCAGAAATAATGCTGCATGCCTACAACCACCTGATCTTCAACAAACTAGACAAAGACAAGCAATGGGGAAAAGACTTCCTATTCAATAAATGGTGCTGGGATAACTGGCTAGCCACATGTAGAAGATTGAAGCTGGACCCCTTCCTTACACCATATACAAAATCAATTCACAATGGATTAAAGACTTAAATGTAAAACCCAAAACTATAAAAATCCCACAAGACAACCTAGGCAATACCCTTCGGGACATAAGAATGGGCAGAGAGGCTGGGCACGATGGCTCACGCCTGTAATCCCAACACTGTGGGAAGCTGAGGCAGGTGGATTGCCTGAGCTCAGGAGTTTGAGACCAGCCTGGGCAACATGGTGAAACCCCGTCTCTACTAAAATACAAAAAATTAGCTGGGTGTGGCAGTGTGCGCCTGTAGTCTGAGCTTCTCTGGAGGCTGAGGCAGGAGAATTGCTTGAACCCAGGAGGCGGAGGTTGCAGTGAGCCAAGATTGTGCCACTGCACTCCAGCCTGGGCGATAGAGCGAGACTTTGTCTGAAAAAAAAAAAAAAAAAAAAAAAAAAAAAAGAATGAGCAAAGATTTCATGACAAAGACACCAAAAGCAATCGCAACAAAGGCAAAAATTGACAAGTGGTATCTAATTAAACTTAAGAGCTTCTGCACAGCAAGAGAATCTACCAACAGAGTAAACAGACAACATACACAATGGGAAAAAATACTGGCAAACTATGCATCTGACAACGGTCTAATATCCAGCATCTATAAGGAACTTAAATTTGCAAGAGAAAAACAAACAACCCCGTTAAAAAGTGGGCAAAGGACATGAACAGACACTTTTCAAAAGAAAACATACATGCGGCCAACAAGCATATGAAAGAAAGCTCAATACCACTAATCATTAGAGAAATGCAAATTCAAACCACAGTGAGATACCACCTCACACCAGTTAGAATGGTTATTATTAAAAAGTCAGAAAATAACAGATGCTGCTAGGCTGCAGAGAAAAGGGAACATTTATACACTGTTGGTGGGAGTGTCAATTAGTTCAACCATTATGGAAAGAAGTATGGCGATTCCTCAAAGAGCTAAAAGCAGAACTACCATTTGACCCAGCAATCCCATTACTGGGTGTATACCCAGAGGAATATAAATCATTCTACCATAAAGACACATGCACGCGAATGTTCACTGCAACACTATTCACAATAGCAAATACATGGAATCAACCTGAATGACCATCAATGACAGATTGAATAAAGCAAATGTGGTACATACACACCGTGGAATACTAAGCAGCCGTAAAAACGAACAAGATCATGTCTTTTGCAGGAACATGGATGGAGCTAGAGGTCATTGTCCTTAGTAAAGTCACACAGGAACAGAAAACCAAATACCACATGTTGTCACTTATAAGCAGGAGCTAAATGACAAGAACTTATGAACACAAAGAAGGAAACAACAGACACTGGTGTCTACTTGAGGGTGGAGGGTGGGTGGGGGGAGAGGAGCAGAAAAGATAACTATTGGGTACTGGGCTTAATACCTGGGTGATCAAATAATCTGTACAACAAAACCCTGTGACATGAGTTTACCTATGTAACGAACTTTTACATGTAACCCTGAACCTAAAATAAAAGTTTAAAAAAAATGGAAAAGAGGGTAGTCATTACCGGGGTAGGCAGAGGGAGGAAAAAGCCCTTAAGAGAAAGATCAGCAAGCTAAGGAAGAGGAGGAGGTGTGCAGGCTGGGAGTTGAGCCCCACTGCCCTCCTCCTTTATAGGGCAGCAGCAGGATGCAGGAGAGATATCAGCCTCCCAAGCATCACTTCTCAGGAATGCAGTGGAGCTAGCCCTGCTAACTGCAATACTATGACAGGGATTCTGAAAGGGCATTCCTCTTATAATTAAATACCTAGGTACTGGGAGGCAAATAAAAATCATAATAAAAGCCAACAGTAATGAGTTTACCGGCCAGACACGGTGGTTTATATTTTAATCCCCGCATTTCAGGAAACCAAGATGAGGCGGGAGGATCGCTTGAGCCCAGGAGTTTGAGACAAGCCTGGGCAACATAACGAGACTCTGCCAAAAAATTAAAATCAACGAAACTAGCCAGGTATGGTGCCAGCACCTGTAGTCCCAGCTACTCGGGAGGCTGAGATGGGAGGATCACTTGAGCCCAGGAGTTCGAGGCTGCAGTGAGCTGTGATAGCACCACTGCACTCCTGCCTAGGAGACAGAGTGAGACCCTGTCTCGAAAAAATTTTTAAACATTTTTTAAAATTAAGAGCTTATCTATTGTCTGTTACCATTATGCCAAGGGCTTTACTTTGACCATTTTTTTCAGTTCTCAAAAGAATGCTACAGATTTAGTAGTGATGCAATTACCCCCATTTCACAAATGGGGAAACTGAAGCTTTAAAGAGGTTAAATACCATGCCTATGTCTAGGATGTAAGCAATGGAGCTGGACATCTTGGGGACTCCAGGACCTATGGTCCTAACCATGGTTCTTGGGATGGCTTACTGCCTCCCAGGGTGAGCTGGAGTAACTGGAGTGAGTGGACCCAGACAGGACAATTAAGCATTCCTAAAAGTGGAGCATTTAGTACGTGCAGTGTCTTGGTGCAGCATGAAGGCCAGAGAAGATGCAATGAGATAGATTAGTGTCAGGTCCTAGTTGACTGAATGGCATTTTGATCCAATATTTTAAAAATCCCTGGATTCTGTTATAGGGGCTCCTCACTTTAAGGAAATCTGATATTCAAAATCCAAACTGAAGTAGGAATAACAGCTTGTTCATTGAGCAGCTACTGTGCACCTTGGCATCACACCAGGAGTTTTCTAAACATGACCTCACAACTGCACAATTCTGCCAGGCGAAATTATTAGCCATATTCCCAAGCCAGGCACTATGAGCTGAGTTGTGACTTCCAAAATTCAAGTGCTGAAGCCCTAAGCCCCAGTGCTTCTGAATGTGACCGTATTTAGAAATAGGATCTTTAAGGAGGCAATTGGGTTAAAATGAGGTCATTAAGGGTGGACCCTAATCTAATATGATTGATATTCGTATACGAAGAGGAGATGAGGCCACAGACACAGGACACAGACACACCCTGAGGGGTGACCACGTGAGGGCACATCAAGACAGCAGCTGCCTGCAAACCAAGAGAAGCAGTCTCATAGGAAACCAACCCAGCCAACACGTTGATCTCAGACTTCCAGCCTCCAGAACTGTGAGACAATACATTTCTGCTGTTTAAGCCACAGTCTGTGGTACTTTGCTATGGCAGTCCTAGCAAACTAATGCACCAAGGAATCGAGTCTGAAAGTCTAGTTTTTGTCCAAAATCACGAAGACTGTGTCAGAGCTAAAAATGCAGTCTGTGCTACTGCAAAACTTACACAACAGAAGGGCCCTCTCCTGTACCAGAAGGTTTGCTCCAGGCTTCTGAGTATCAGCTACACTGTTTCATCAAAACACAATTCATTTGACAAAAGCCACTTGCCCTTCTGGCAAAAGAGATCTCAAGCAAAGAAAATTCTACTGATTTCACTCATGCCCCCTTGTAGATGGTGATGTTTCTATAATGAAGCATTTAAAGATTCTGATCCCATGTCAGAAAATCTGGATGGACTGTTATATATGAGAGAAAAACTACGTTTGCATATCGATCAATGAATGAAAACAACCTGAGAAATGGAAACCATTTGATTTGGTGAAGTAGGAGCAAATGAAGTAAATTTTTAAGTAATGTTTATTTCCCATGTTATATAAGGTTATCTGAAAAACAAACATTTAAAATTTTTCCTTTTAAACTTTTTTCACATTCATATTTAATACACCTTTTGCACTAATTGCCAGAAATTAACACCCCTCAAAACGTGTGTGTGTGTGTGTGTGTGTGTGTGTGTATGTATATTTTAGATTGAGTCTCACTTTGTCGCCCAGGCTGGAGTGCAGTGGCGAGATCTCTGCTCACTGCAACCTCTGCCTCCCCAGTTCAAGCAATTCTCCTGCTTCAGCCCCCCGAATAGCTGGGATTACAGGCGTGCACCACCATCCCTGGCTAATTTTTTGTATTTTTAGTAGAGATGGGGTTTCACCATGTTGGCCAGGCTGGTCTCGAACTCCTGACCTCAGGTGATCTGCCAGCCTTGGCCTCCCAAAGTGCTAGGATTACAGGCATGAGCCACCTTGCCCGGCTCTATTTATATATTAAAAAGACCTTTATAAATTTAAAAACTTAAAATATATATTATAAAAGTATCATACACATGTGACAATAAAAATTCAAATAGAATTTTAAAAATTCAAATAGGACTGAAGGGAACAAACTAAAATATAAGTGGTTGCCCAAGAACCATCTTTAAGCATCTCTGGGTTTTAGTTCTTGCAATGATTACTTCTCTTTGTGACACTGTGTTATTTTGATCTTGACATTTTTAAAGAAAACATGGATTGACAGATACAAATGTCTTTGCATATGTCAAAATACTTTTAAAAATAAATAAAGGGGAAAAGAGCCTCTCAGAAATGGCCACTAGGTGGTAGAAGTTGACTAAAAACTGCTTTATTCGGTAGAGCCATCTCGATTGCTGCCCGCGACTTTTTTCCTCTAGGGAGAAGGGATTTCTTCAGGGTCTTCTCCTGAGATATCCAACATCTCCTCCTCGAGCCCCTTTGCTTAGAATGCCCTGTAGCCATTTTAGACTGCACACAAATGGAGATAACACAAGCAACTTCTCACCTTCCAGAGGGCAGGACAAGATGAAGAAGGAAGATCTTCAAAAGTGAAAGGTTAAGAAAGACAAGTACACACCCATACACACACCAGTCCTACCAAGGCAATGGTGACAGCAGGAAGAGATGGCTGCTCTTCCTCCAGAGCAGCTGTGATGCAGACCCACCTGTCACCCAAGAAGGAGAAAAGTGAACAACAGCTTCTGCCCTAGTGGAGCCTGAATTAACTCATAAGTCGAAATCCCCAGAATCTCTTTGCGCTTTGGTCTGTGCTATTGTACTTAACACACGCTCAATAAAGACTTATTGATTTGACTTAATCTCAAAACCACATTTCTAAAGCACCAAAGGACTATCTTTTGATTCATTAGATGTTTCTTGAGCTCACACAAGTGCCTAAACAACAGGGGAAAAGGTCGTAAAGATAAATAAAATAAAAGCCTTCTGTATTTTTTTTTTTTTTTTTTTTTTTTTTTGAGACGGAGTCTCACTCTGTCACCCAAGCTGGAGTGCGGTGGCGCAATCTCGGCTCGCTGCAAGCTCCGCCTCCCGGGTTCACGCCATTCTCCTGCTTCAGCCTCCCGAGTAGCTGGGACTACAGGAGCCCGCCACCACGCCCGGCTAATTTTTTGTATTTTTAATAGAGACAGGGTTTCACCGTGTTAGCCAGGATGGTCTCGATCTCCTGACCTCCTGATCCGCCCGCCTCGGCCTCCCAAAGTGCTGGGATTACAGGCGTGAGTCACCACGCCCGGCCAGGCTTCTGTATATTTTTCTATATGGCCAAAATGTTTAATGATTCTAAAAACTGAGAACAAACACAAGCAAACAAGTCAAAGGAAGAAAATGTTTAAATAAGAAAAATAAATGGGCCGGGCGTGGTGGCTCACGCCTTTATCCCAGCACTTTGAGAGGCCGAGATGGTCGGACTGCTTGAGGTCAGGAGTGCTTGAGGAGGTCAGCCTGGCCAACATGGTGGAACCCCTGTCTCTACTAAAAATACAAAAATTAGCTGGGCATGATTAGCACCTGTAATCCCAGTTACTCAGGAGGCTGAGGCAGGAGAATCGCTTGCACCCGGGAGGCGGAGCCTGGGTGACAGAGCTAGACTTCGTCTCAAAAAAAAAAAAAGAAAAGAAAAGAAAAGAAAAATAAATATCAATAACCCCTTCACACAAGAATTTTATTCCTACAAATTTATCCTTAGAAAATATGTCAATAGAGGCAAAAACTACAAAAGTGAAACTATAAATCTAAATAGCCAATGATTAATAGTTAATTGTAACATTAGTTTACTAGATCATTATCTATCCTTACAATCATTTTGAAGACTATGAAAAAATGAGTCATGCATAATAAGTTTACAGGTTTTTTTAGACATGAATATAACTAAGTTCACTAAAAGGCAAGCAGACTAAGCAGAATAATGTGTCTTCATAACAGTATGCCGATAGTAAGATCCAGAAATTGACTGAAGCACTGTGTTTTCATAAGAAGTACTAAGGATTCAATCTCCCAGCCCATGGCCCACAAATGTGATATGGTTTCACGCCATGGTTATCTTTTGTTTATTATCTTTGTTCTACAGTTGCCATAGCAGTAAAATTTATTTTCAATAGAATTATTAAAGTTTTCTTTGCTAACTAAAGCTTATTTTTGTTTTGCAACCATTAGCAATGTAAATTTACTCCCAACTATGCCAAACACAATGTTTACATTTTGTATCAAATTTTAAGCCTGTAATAAAATGTAGGTATTTATAACCATATAAATGTCCTTCTTCTTGGGCAAGATGAGGGGTTTATTTACCATGGCAGGGTCCAGGTTCTTTTGGCAGTCGTGGGATAGACTATGCCATCCCAAGGATAAAATCAGCTATTTATGCCAATGTTTACATGGGAGAATGAGTGACACTTAAATTCATGCTCTTAAAAAAAAGAAAAAGTGATCCACTTCTGGATGTTATTTGCGTAGATTTTGGCAAGGAAAAACTGAGCTTCCTTGGGCTAGGTCCAGAACCTGCAATCCCAGGACCTCTGCGAAGACCTAAGGGCAGCAGAGGTTGATTAAGCCCAGCAGAGAGATCTATTTCCTGGCTGATTCACAGACATAGCCTTCTAAGTCCTACAAAGTCTCACAGTGTGCAGAGGAGGAAAAGGAGACAAGTTCTGTTGAGAAGAAAGCTAAGGGGTTCTCCATACCTTTCCCATTAGGCTGGAGGACTGACATTGACATCATTAGACCAGCAACTTTATGACCACTGAGTTCCCAAATCTTTAACTTCAGCCTATACATTTCCCCCTAAACGCTTTTTGCTCTAAAATCAAGAGAAATGTATATAATGTGTCTGATTCAGTGGTGCTTTCATATATATGCCATATGTATTATATATATTTCTCAAATATGTATGGGTACATACATTTGTGTACATATTATATATTCATATTTATATAAAAGCTATTTAACTGCTTTAAAAGGATGAGATAGCCCACCAGAAGTTTTGTGATTATGATAAGTGGAATTAAGTCAAACTTTGGTCTTTCAAAATAATAGACAATCAATAACCTGAAATTAATAACTTTTCATTTACACCTATACCAAAATAACATATTCATAAATATAATGAAAAAGACAAGAATGTATAAACTGTGTGTGTATATGTGTACATACGTGTGTGTTTGCATGCACACCCACTAAGAATATGTAAACTGGGTGGGAAATTAGTCTTATAAGAAAAAAATTTTTTAATTTGAAGGAAAATGTAAACTCAAAAAACAATACATATTATTATTATACATTCCCTCTGATAAAGCCTAGAAATCAGTTTAATAAAGGAATATATTGAAAGAGATGTTTAGTACAGTATTTTAAAGCTTGTTTAAGACAGCAAATTCTTTGCAAATGGGAATTAGAAGCTAGGTGCCTATTTCCAGGAAAGAGAGTTCTGTATTGAAAAAAACAAAGGACGTATGTGCAAATAAATAATCACTTCCATTAAATTGAGGGGTCAGAGACCAGCTTGGCAGCTGCAACAAAGAAAAATTTGTCATCAAAACTCTTTGGCCCTTCATTCCTAAAATAAATTTGGAGCTAATTAGCTTTCAAGACTTTTCCGGGTTTTTTTCCACAGTGACAAGACAAAGAAACAGACTTAAGATAAAAACCAGATGTCAAAGTTTACTGGTCATTTGTTCATGTACATTATATATTTATATGTCTATGTCACTGTTAAAGTTGCGGTTTGGCAAAGTTGCAAACACAGTAGGTGAAATAAACTTCGTGGGCCTTATTCTGATTGTGATTTGCCTTTCAGCGTGGAAGGTGCCATGTGCTAGCATGGCTGAATTCCTCCTGGTCTGAAATGCATTTTACTACTCTGTTAAATGTTGCTTAGTACAGCTGCCTTTGGCGGCTCTTACAATACAAAACAATTCTGTAAAGACTTCCAGAAATCACAGAGAGCATTTAAATTACATCAGCTCTTTTCCATCGGTATTAGATCTGCCTACGGTGATGACACTGTTTCCTGTCAAATGGTGAATCTGGGCTACTCAGTACTTGCTTGGAGAATACAAGAGGAAAATATAGCTATATTTTTCCCATACGGATATCAGTGAAAACCCAGGAAAAGGAGAAATGAAAAGATAAGCAGGACACATTCAAGTTTTTCAAGGACCTCTGTTTAATTTCTGCAGGATCCTGAACCCATGTCTATCTTTGCTTACTAAATAATAAATGTTAAGCTCCACGACAAGCAAATGCGTTTACAACAAGAGGTCTCTATGCAACTAAGAGCCATGGTCAGCAGCTGATTCAAGATCCCAAAATACTATACTAGAGAGGTCCTTGAGAAGGTGCCGGATGGAAGGAAAGGGTAGATAAAATGCATTTGAATAAATGAATTTACATTTGAATAAATATTTTTACTACAGGCTCTAGAACTTTCTTTACTTACGATTTTAAATGAGATGTGGCTGAAGGCACAATAGGACAATTCTCCTACTAAATGGTTTGTACCTCCAGGTTTCTATACAAATAGTTCTTCCCTCAAAAAACCGGCTAGGTTTCTGAGTGTTTCTCTGTTAGGGTAAATATGGTATACCATAGTGCTTGACTTACATTTCATGGAGTCATCTAGGACACAGAGTTTTTTTTACTTTTTGGTTGTTGTTGTTCAATTATCTGTCTCCTCATAGGATCTACTTTAGAGTTCCAAATCTACCAAGTATACAAATACGAAATTTGATCCTGTCAACTGGCATCCATTTTCCTTTTTTTTTTTTTTTTTTTTTTGAGACGGAGTCTCGCTCTGTCGCCCAGGCTGGAGTGCAGTGGCGCGATCTCGGCTCACTACAAGCACCCGCTGCTGGGTTCACACCATTCTCCTGTCTCAGCCTCCCGAGTAGCTGGGACTACAGGCGCCCGCCACCACGCCCGGCTAATTTTTTGTATTTTTAGTAGAGACGGGGTTTCACCGTGTTAGCCAGGATGGTCTCCATCTCCTGACCTCGTGATCTGCCCGCCTCGGCCTCCCGAAGTGCTGGGATTACAGGCATGAGCCACTGCTCCTGGCCCCATTTTCCTAACAGTTTTCATGGGAAAAGGCGTTATAATTTCCTTCTGTAGTTTCTCGAAATGTTATAGAGCACACTCACAGACAAGGCATTCTTGAGCATATACAAGACTTTAGACGAACTTTCCCACACACCAAATTTCTAGCTCATTTTTCTAAACTCAGAAGAAATAGAAAAATTGTTATATCTTTCATTGGACTGCTTTTTCTGTTACTGGGGTTTATTTGCAGTGATCACAGTTAGGGGTTGGTTGGTGAGATAGTTTGGATATTTGTCCCCACCCAAATCTCAGGTTGAAACAGTAATCCCCAATGTTGGAGGTGGGGCCTGCTAGGGGTATTTGGATCACGGGGGCAGATCCCTCATGAATGGCTTGGGCCATCACCTTGGTGATAAGTGAGCTCTCACTCAGTTCACACGTGATCTGGTTGCTTAAAATTGTGTGGCACCTCCCTACCCCAACTTGCTCCTGCTTTCACCGTGTGATGTACCTGCTCCCCTTCGCCTTCTGCCATGATTGAAAGCTTCCTGAGGACTCCCTAGACGCCAAGCAGGTGCTGGTGCCATGCTTCCTGTGCAGCCTGTAGAGCCGCAAGCCAATTAAACCTCTTTTCTTCATAAATTACCCAGTCTCAGGTATTTCTTTATTGCAATGCAAGAATGGCCTAATACAGTGGGTTTTTGGTGGGCAGGAAGGAAATGAATGACAGCTTCATTTCCAAATACAACAGTCCCCGCTTATCTGCAGTTTCACTGTCCATGGTTTTTAGTTTACCCTTGGTACAGTGCAACAAAGCATTCTGAGAGAGAAGGAGGCCGCATTCACATAACTTTTATTAAAGTATACTGCTATAATTCTATTTCATTATTAGCTATTGTTGTTCATTTCTTACTGTGCCTGACTTATAAATTAAACTTTATCATAGGTATGTAGAGGGAAAAACAGTATGTCTAGTGTTCAGTAGTATTTAAGGTTTCAGCCATCCATTGGGGTCTTGAAACATATCAATACCCCATGGATAAGGGAGGCTGCTATAGCTTCAGAGCAGACACTTCTTTTATGTCAATCCAGTGCACAATTACCCCTTTTCTCCAAGGTCTGTCCCCACACACCCACTAGCTGAGTTCCTGGCAGCCCTTCTATATTAAGAGACCTATGTCCCTAACCTAGCTGTTTCTTGGGGACTATGGAATTATGATCTCTGTGTTTGGCTGAAACTACAGTGATATAATCTTGGAAGAAAAGAATGAAGCAGATGAGGCCTGGGAATTCCTGATGGCTTCTTGCTTCCTGGGTCTTGGCCCTCAGGAATGCAGATATCCTTCACCAGCATCCTTCTAATAACTCCCTTTTTGAGTAAAATAATTCCACATGGTTTCTATGCGAACATTGACTAAGAAAGACTATATTTGTGCCAACATATTAAATGATTCATTTTGTAAGGACTATTTCATGTACAATGCAAATAAAGAAAGGAGGCTCAAATATTAATAGAAGAGTATTTAACAATTTTTAAAGGTATAAATGTAGAATTTATTCCTTCCACCCTCACTCCCCAAATAAATAGCCCAGTGCTGATATATTAATCTTCATAATAACATTGTCACATGGCAAGAGACATATTTCTTTCCCCCCACCACCCTCTGTTAAGAAGACTGAGACTCGGGGAGGGAAAGCATTAGGAAAAATAGCTAATGGATGCTGGGTTCAATACCTAGGTGATGGGTTGATCTGTGCAGCAAACCACCATGGCACACGTTTACCTATGTAACAACTCTACACATCCTGCACATGTACCCCAGAACTTAAAATAAAAATTTAAATTAAAAAAAAGAAGAGGCCGGGCGCAGGGGCTCACACCTGTAATCCCAGCACTTTGGGAGGCCAAGGCAGGTGGATCACGAGGCCAAGAGATCAAGACTATCCTGGCCAACATGGTGAAACCCCATCTCTACTAAAAATACAAAAATTAGCTGGGCATGGTGGCACACACCTGTAGTCCCAGCTCCTCAGGAGGCTGAGGCAGGAGAATTGCTTGAACCCAGGAGGTGGAGGTTGCAGTGAGCCAAGATCGTGCCACTGCACTCCAGCCTGGCAACAAAGTAAGACTCCGTCTCAAAAATAAATAAATAAATAAAATTAATTAATTAAAATAAAATAAAGAAGACCACAGACTAGAACCCACGATTGCTGACTCGGTCCAGATTATTTCCATACACAAGTTAAAGCATGTGGACCACAAAAATAAAAGTCTTTACAAAGACACTGGGGAAAAAAGTGTTCATATGTAGAAAAAAATAAAGATATTCTGGGGGGGAAAAGGGCTGGGAGTACAATTTGTATATTGACTAAACCAGTTTTGTAGCAAAGCCAATAACTGTCTTTTATTTGTTTGTTTGTTTTTGTTTATTCTCCTGTGGTGCCTTCAAAATATAATTATGGAGATAATTTCCTCTATCCCTGAATGGATACTTGGGCAAATCTCATGACTTCTGCATTCACTCTTAGATAATGGATGGTTCTACAGTGTTAAGATCATAAAATCAGCATTGGTTTAGTAACTTGTACAGGTTCAGTCCAAGATACTAACAAGCCATTCAGTCCTCATTCAGAGTCTTTCTCTTCTTGGCTAAGTGAGGTCTAAAGACTGCCTGCTTTGGAGAAGAAGGTGTGGGCGTCTTCTCCTCTTCTGCATTCTCCCACTAGCTGCTGTTTGGGGCCCTTCCTGGGGAGAGGCAATGGATTCTACTTAGCTGGGTGGCTCCCTGCACTCTGGGCTTGACACAGTGAAAGCAAACTCTTACTTCCACGAAGCAATTTCATGGGCTTTTGTTTTCTTTTTAATTACCCAATTGCTGAGGCCTCTCACCTAATTCTCAGGCTTTGAACAAAACATTCCACCCCCCAGGCTGCTTTTCCCCACTGTGCACTCCACATGGCTTCATGCTGCTGCAGACTCCACCCTTCCCAGTGGCTCCCCAGGCAGCACTCACAAACTGCTCTCGCCAGCTCTCCCGCGGAGGGGCCTACTCTGGGGGACAGGAAATATTGAGAGACCTTGGCCTTGATATTCCAGAGGTAACAGCACGCTCCTGACCTCACTGCTGGTTGGTGAACCTGCCTCTTAGCCCCTCCATTTCCTAAGGTGTCAACCCCATTCTGAATGTGCCCCAACTTCAGCAAACACAAATCAAGCTCATGGACAATCCTACTGAAGCCCTTTCCCCAGCCACGGGCGGAGTGGAGGAGAAGAGGAGAGTCTGGAGACAAATACGCCTCCTCTGACTATACTGGAATCCCCCTCTTTTTCATTACTTTGTATGTGGTATTACATACAACATAAAACTTAGCATTTTTACCATTTTCAAATGTATAGCTCGGTTGTATTAACTATATTCACACTGCTGTGCAACTATAACCGCCGAACAATCTCCAAAATTCTTTTAATCCTCCCACACTGAAACTCTGTACCCAGAGTTTCTAACATGAACTCCCCCACCCCCGACTCCCAGTCCCTGGCACCTACCATTTGAACTTCCTGTCTCTATGAATCTGACTTCTCTAGGAACCTCATGTAAGTGGAATCATACATTATTTCTTTTTATGACTGGCTTATTCTACTGAGTACAATATCCTCAAGGTTCATCCATGTTATAGCACGTGTCAGGATGGAATAATATTCCATTGTGTGGAGAGACCACACTTTGTTTTTTCATTCAACCATCAGTGGACACTTGAGATGCTTCTACCTTTCAGCTATTGTGAATAATGCTGCTCTGAACATGGGTGTACAAACATCTGTTCTCGTCTCCTTACCCCTGACCCTTTCTAAGTTTTGCCCACGTGGGGTTCAGTCTTAACACTCATTTTTGTATTTGTTGTCCATTACACATTAGTGTCTCAACTGATATCACACAAAAAGAAACACATCTAACATTCTGTTAGGTCAAGACCCAAAGATAACCTTAGGCTCTATTCAAAGTCCTCTAACTTTTTTTTTTTTTTTTTTTTGAGAGGGAGTCTCATTCTGTCTCCCAGGCTGGAGTGCAGTGGCACGATCTCAGCTCACTGCAACCTCCACCTCCCAGGTTCAGGCAATTCTTCTGCCTCAGCCTCCCAAGTACCTGGGACTACAGGCACGTGCCACCACGCCCGGCTAATTTTTGTATTATTAGTAGAGACAGGGTTTCACCATGGTGGCCAGGCTGGTCTCGAACTCCTGGCCTCGTGATCTGCCCCCCTTGCCCTCCCAAAGTGCTGGGATTACAGGCGTGAGCCACCGCGCCCAGCTGTAAAGTCCTCTAACTTTAAACACTGCACAGGTCTTAACCCTCTGGGGAGGTTTTCCTCTGGAGGCTCCTGTCTGCACTTCCTAGTTAAGGTTTTCGATATGGATTGGTCCCAGTCAGCTCCTCAAAAATACAACCAAATATTAACATAAAGTTACCATGTGACCCAGCAATTCCATTCCTTGATACACACCCAGAAGAAATGAAACTATGTCCACATAAAAACTTGTAGACAAACGTTTATAGCTAGCATAAAACTCATGACAGCTGAAAAGTGGACACAATCCAAATGTCTTTCCACTGATGAATGGATACTCAAAACTGGCATATCCATTCAGTGAAATACTATTTAGCCATAAAAACAATGAAGTACTGATACAGCTACAATATAAATGAACCTCATATTAAGTGAAGGGCCTACTCTGGGGGACAGGAAATATTGAGAGACCTTGGCCTTGATATTCCAGAGGTAACAACAGCACGTTCCTGACCCCACTGCTGGTTGGTGAACCTGCCTCTTAGCCCTTCCACTTCCTAAGGTGTCAACCCCATTCTGAATGTGCCCCAACTTCAGCAAACACAAATCAAGCCAAACACACAAAAGTGAAGGAGGCCAAACACACAAAAACATACATATTGTATGATTCCATTTATATAAAATGTTCAAAAAAGGCAAATCCATGGGGACAGGAAGTAGATTATTGGTTGCCTAAGGCTGAGGGGAGGGAATGGAGAGTGACAGCAAATGGACACACGGTTTCTTTCCGGGGTGAAGGAAATAAAGGTTCTAAACTTAGATTGTAGTGATGATTGCACAATTCTGTAAGTTTACTAAAAATCATTGAATTATACATCTAAAATGGGTGAATTTCATGATATATAAATTACAGCTGAAAAAACTTTTTTTAAAAAATATAACTCAAATATTTAACAAGTATAATTCATGACATCAAAATACAGTCAGTTACTGCATAGAATCAAAGGCAAGAACTTTCTTTTATTTATTTATTATTATACTTTAAGTTTTAGGGTACATGTGCACAATGTGCAGGTTAGTTACATATGTATACATGTGCCATGCTGGTGTGCTGCACCCACCAACTCGTCATCTAGCATTAGGTATATCTCCCAATGCTATCCCTCCCCCCTCCCCCCACCCCACAACAGACCCCAGAGTGTGATGTTCCCCTTCCTGTGTCCATGTGTTCTCATTGTTCAATTCCCACCTATGAGTGAGAATATGCGGTGTTTGGTTTTTTGTTCTTGCGATAGTTTACTGAGAATGATGATTTCCAATTTCATCCATGTCCCTACAAAGGACATGAACTCATCATTTTTTATGGCTGCATGGTATTCCATGGTGTATATGTGCCACATTTTCTTAATCCAGTCTATCACTGATGGACATTTGGGTTGGTTCCAAGTCTTTGCTATTGTGAATAATGCCACAGTAAACATACATGTGCATGTGTCTTTATAGCAGTGTGATTTATAGTCCTTTGGGTACATACCCAGTAATGGGATGGCTGGGTCAAATGGTATTTCTAGTGCTAGATCCCTGAGGAATTGCCACACTGACTTCCACAATGGTTGAACTAGTTTACAGTCCCAACAACAGTGTAAAAGTGTTCCTATTTCTCCACATCCTCTCCAGCACCTGTTGTTTCCTGACTTTCTAATGACTGCCATTCTAACTGGTGTGAGATGGTATCTCATTGTGGTTTTGATTTGCATTTCTCTGATGGCCAGTGATGGTGAGCATTTTTTCATGTGTTTTTTGGCTGCATAAGTGTCTTCTTTTGAGAAGTGTCTGTTCACGTCCTTCACAAAGGCAAGAACTTTCTATGACAAAATATTCACAGTGACTATCTCTAGCAATTTCACGATAACATTTTTTTCTGTTTCTTAAGTGTATTTTATAAACTTTCTGCATTTACTAGCTGGCTTTCCTGACAACAACCATGTGGTGGCGGCTGCTGTTGTTGTTGTTTTAAATAAAAAGCATGGGTAAATTGATGTATAAGCTTGCAGTGGGGAAGACCTTTCAAAATAAGACAGAAAAGCCAATAGCCTAAAGGTGCTCTGCCAAATTTGCTGTATGAAATGTTAAAAATGCTGCTGCAGCAAAAACCAAACCAAACAAAAACAAGAACTAAACACAAAGTTAAAACACAAGACAAATTGGAGAAAACATTTATAAAATACAATGAAAGACAAAAGCCTAATTTTCTTAATTTATCAAGCTCAGCCAAATCAGTAAATGCTGAACCCAATGGAAAAATCAGCAAAGAATATGAATAAGCAATTGACAGAAAAAGGAATATTAACTGTCATTTTACATATGAAAAGATGCTCAACCTTGTTCACTTTGTGGTGAGAGTATAAACTTCTATGCTTTTTTTTTTTTTTGAGACAGAGTTTTGCTCTTGTTGCCCAGGCTGGCGTGCAATGGTGAGATCTCTGCTCACTGCAACCTCTGCCTCCCAGGTTCAAGCGATTCTCCTGCCTCAGCCACCTGAGTAGCTAGGATTACAGGCATCCACCACCACGCCTGGCTAATTTTTGTATTTTTAGTAGAGACGGGGTTTCGCCATGTTGGCCAGGCTGGTCTTGAACTCCTGACCTCAGGTGATCTGCCCACCTTGGCCTCCCAAGGTGCTGGGATTACAGGCATGAGCCACCAAGCCCGGCCAAATGTGTATGATCTTTTTTAAGGGCAATTTGACAAACTGTACCAATACCTTTTTAAAGTGTAGTTCCACATTATGCAACTTGGCACTTCCACTCCTATGAAATTACCCTGTCGATTACACCAACAAAAATATTCCAAGACAGACATAAGCATACGTTCATTGCAATGTGGTTATAGCGAGAAAACTAAACCCTGAATATCCATGAGTAAGGAAGAAGCTAAATAAATTACGCTACCTTACAAATGGAATTCTATGCACTTTTAAGAAGTATTAATTACATCTAGATGTGCCAATGTATAAATATCTCTGAGAAATAGGAAGTGAAAAAAGAAAAAAGCAGCAGAATGAATATGGAAAAAAATCTATGTTCTACAAATTTTAAAAGATAGTATACACATACATATTTTTTTCCCAGACAGTAATGGTTATCTTTGAAATGAAGGACTGCTGGAAAGAAAGTCTGTCTACTTTTCATTTGGACTTTCCCGTGCTGTTTTGCACATTTTAAGGCTGTGCCTGTAATTTTTTAAATATCCACAAAGGCTAGCTAGGAGGTGGGATTATAAACCATTTCTGTTTTCTTATTTTTTACTTATCCATATTTAAAAATAACTTAATGGATTTGTTATTTCAACAGGTTATTCTTTTCTGCTTGACCTCGAGTTACAGAGATGCAGATGAAGTCAAAGAGGATACCAGATGCAGCCAGTCTGCTGGGGAGGCACGTACGTCTGAGTGGGCCCAGCACAGCTGTTCTCCAGGGCAAGGCTTGGCCATGGCAGCTGCCCCAGCGCCCGCATTCAGCCCAACCCACCAGGTCACCCCAGTCCAGTCCGTGGTGCTCAGATCCCCAAGCAATCACAGGTCAGAGGCGGAAAGAACTACGTGAATGTGTACAGTGATATTGGGCACATGCTCTGAAGGAAGGGAAACCGAAGAACGTCAAGGGGCAGCGTTCAGAGGAGGGGAAAGAATGCAGAGTCTGGGTGTGATCCCTACCTGGACTCTCTTAGAAGCTCCACTATCCTCTTCTCTAATGATCTGTCTTCCCATTCCAGAATTTCTTACCTTAACCTACTTAGCCTGAGTTAAATAAGCATCTGCATGCAGAAATAAATAAGTGAGGGAATTTGTACTTTTCTGCAATTAGCGTGCATTATTTTTCTCATCATAACAAATCTGTTTTTAGAAAACAATAAATGACGGATATAGGCCCACCTATACGAAGTTATGCCTTCTACTGGAGTCCATAGAGAACTTCAGTCAGATCTGCTTTCTCCCACCAGGTAACCCACATTCTCCACTTGGAAAGAAGGGCAGAAGAAAGCAGGGAGATTAAGGACATGACCAGTGATGGGGGACTTTGAGGACTGGCTGCACGTTTCTCCTGGAGAAGGGATGGGGTGGAGGGTAACTTACAAGCGGAGGGGGCGAGAGAAAGGGAAGGAAATAATACTGGTGTGTGCATGCTTTTGGGTCTAGTTAACTAGATTCTCCCAATTTCTCTTCCATCAATCTTTACAGTATTTGCTATGTATTTGCACTACTCACCTCCATCCTGCTGACTTTATCATTTTCTCACGCTGAATCACGATTTGTAAATTGAGGAAGGAAGCACGGATAAGTAGGGATGGTGCCACACTACCTCTCAGGCTGGGCGCTAGAGGGCAGAAGCTTCTAGGAAATCTTCACAGGCAGACCTTCACTTCTAAAAATGCCCAAGGATCTACAACACTGGTGAACCTGGAGAACATTATCTTAAGTGAAATAAGCCAGACCCAGAAAGACAAATACTGCATATCTCACTCGTGTGGAATCTAAATAAACGTCGAGCTCACCATAACACGGAGTAGTAGTATGGTGGTTACCATGGACTGGGGGATGTTGGTTACAGGGTACAAAACTTCAGTTATAAGGTGAATAAGGTCTGGAAACCTACTTTACAGCACGGTGACTATAGTTAATAATAATGTGTTGTGGAGTACTGTGGCATGCCTCTGTAATCCCCACTACTCAGGAGGCTGAGGTAGAGGATTGCTTGAGCCCAGGAGTTTGAAACCAGCCTGGCCAATGTAGTGACATCCTATCTCTTTAAAAAAGGGGAAAAAAATGTATACGTGAAATTTGCTAAGAAAATAGATCTTAAGCATTCACACCACACACAAACAAACATGACAGATATGTGACTAGTTTGATTGTGATAATCACTTCACAATGTACACATATATCAAAACATCACATTGTACACCTTAAATGTGTACAATTTTTTTGTTTTTTGAGACAAAGTCTCACTCTGTTGCCAGGCTGGAGTGCAGTGGCACAATCTCAGCTCACTGCTATCTTGACCTCCTGGGTTCAAGCGATTCTCCTGACTCAGCCTCCCAAGTAACAGGGACTACAGGCACACACCACCACGCCCAACTAATTTTTGTATTTTTAGTAGAGACGGGGTTTCACCATGTTAGCCAGGATGGTCTCGATCTCTTGACCTCGTGATCCACCCGCCTTGGCCTCCCAAAGTGACAATTTTTTTTTTTTTTGAGACAGAGTTTTTTTGCTCTTGTTGCCCAGGCTGGTGCGCAATGGCGTGATCTCAGCTCACTATAATCTCCGCCTCCCGGGTTCAGGCGATTGTCCAGCCTCAGCCTCCCCAAGTAGCTGGAATTACAGACATGCACCACCACACCCAGTTAAATTTGTATTTTTAGTAGAGATGAGGTTTCACCATGTTGTCAGGGTGGTCTTGAATTCCTGACCTCAGGTAATCCACCTGCCTTGGCCTCCCAAAGTGCTGGGATTACAGGCGTCAGCCACTGCGCCCGGCCAAATGTGTACAATTTTTATTTGTCAATCATACTTCAGTAAAGCCAGGGTTGGGGGGTGGAGATGATTGATGAAAGAGCCTCTGAATGCAAAAACGTTTAGGAATACCTTGACCAATTAGATTTGTTTGTATTTTCTTTTTTTAATCTGTGCACAAGAGTGACATAAAAATCAGAAAAAAATCAATGTCTAGCTAATTCTAAAACAGCTCTTTCAACATGTTTACAACAAAAATTCTAAGAGATATAAAGTATTTAGTGATTTTTTTTAAAATGCCCAACGAGGGAAACACTCATCAGCCAGTCGTGGCCGCCACTAGGGTCTAACAGTCTAAAACCATGTCGTCAAGTTGCTCGCTGTTCTATCAAAGTTCTGCCTTATGATGGGAAAAAAACAGTCTATGTGACATTCAATGTTGGCCTTGTTTGGCTTGTTTGCATGGGTTATCTTATGTAGACTTGATTTCCACAAGTGCTACCTCGGGGGTCTTGGCTCCCAACTCTCTGATGATTCTTTGGCTGTGTCCTTCTGAGCAACATTTGTTTCTCTACAGGATGAATGTTGTCGGTGTTAGCGCTGAGAACCAGAGTCTATTCAGGATGGAGGGTGTATACAAAGGAGGGGGAACTGGGGCACAAAGAGAGGAAACTGGTCCCCGTTCTTTAGTTTGCTCCCCATTCCGGCCTCGTTTTAACACAAAGGCAGGCGTTGTTGACAGATGTTGTAGGGGACACAGGGAGGTCTTCCACTTCCTGGTTTCAGATTGAACTCCACGTCACCTTTATCAAAATTTGTTGAACAGCCCCCTGAGCTTTTGACCTGATCCTCGCTCTCTTTGTTGTGAGTTGCCATCTGCAGGGTCTCTGCTCCTGGTTGTGACACCTCCTTAGTCGTCTTCTGGCATCTCTCCTATGGGCACCACTACTTGCCCACAGTGGCTGTCCTAACAATATCTCTCAACATTTTAATTGTCACCTTCTAGGTTAACCCCATTTAAAAAGAGGTTTTGTTTCGATCATGCCTCTGGGATGTAATAGCTCAAACCATAGAGTTCCCTTTGCACCTGCTACCAAATCATGTGGCTCCAGGAAATTCTGCGCTTTCCCACCATTTGCTGTTAATCAGTGAACTCCAAAGTTCCTACCACTCCTGGCTGGGGGATTCAAAACAAGCCCAAGGCAAGATTCTTACACACACTGAGAACAACAGAAGAGTAATTCAGAATGAGATTTTAGGACAATAATTTTTAAAGTTACTTTTTAAATAAAATAAACAACCATGCCCGTAAAGAAGGCCACTGTAGTATTATATTAGCTAAAAACTGCACAGAAATATAGACCATTAAATGACTGGGTCCTAGCCTTGGCGCGGTGGCTCAGGCCTGTAATCCCAGCATGTTGGGAGGCCAAGGCGGGTGGATCACGAGGTCAGGAGTTCGAGACCAACCTGGCCAACATAGTGAAACCCCATCTCTACTGAAAATACAAAAAATTAGCCAGGCGTGGTGGTGGGCGCCTATAATCCCAGCTACTTGGAAGGCTGAGGCAGGAGAATCTCTTGAACCCAGGAGACAGAGGTTGCAATGAGCCGAGATTGTGCCATTGCACTTCAGCCTGGGGCGACAGTACAACATTCCGTCTTGGAAAAAAAAAAAACAAACAAAGACTGGGTCTTCAGTTAAAAGTGATCCAAATATACCTCGGACATTCAGACACCGCACTAGAATGTAACCATCACTAGGTGATCATCAGTACAGATGATGGCTGGGCCCCCAGGTTAACCAACAGTGATTTAAGTTTCCATGAGACAAAGGTTAGCTGTGCTAACTGGTTTCCAAACAAGGTAAAAAAAATACCACACTAGGAACACGCTGTATCTCAAAGAGTAAAACGATATGTCAAACCTCTCCCTCTGCATTATAAATGCCATTTGCATTACAATGGTACTACACTGTAAAGAAATGTTCTACGAAGTTTGTTAGATGAACTACATGTGCTCTGTTTCAAATCACATACTAATAAAAGTGATCTAGGCCAGGTGCAGTGGCTCATGCCTATAATTCCAGCACTTTGGGAGGCCAAGGCAGGGGTATCGCTTGAGATCAGGAGTTCAAGACCAGCCTGGCCAACATGGCAAAACCCCATTTCTACTAAAAATACAAAAAAAATTAGTTGGGTGTGGTGGTGCATGCCTGTAGTCCCAGCTACTTGGGAGGCTGAGGCAGGAGAATCACTTGAACCCTGGAGGAAGAAGCTGCAGTGAGCTGAGATTGCACCACTGCACTCCAGCCTGGGTGATACAGCCAGACTCCTTCTCAAAAAAAAAAAAAAAAAAAAGTAATGTAGTTCTTTGATATATTTGCATAATTCCCTAACTAGACTACAGCTGATTCCCCTTAAGAAATGTCTGTAGGCTCTCTATGAAAAACAGAGTTTCTTTCTTTTTTTTTTTTTGAGACAGTCTCACTCTGTTGCTCAGGCTGGAGTGCAATGGCAGGATCACCGCTCACTGCAGCTGTGACCTCCTGGGCTGAAGTGATCCTCCCACCTCAGCCTCCCAAGTAGCTGGGACTATAGGTGCAAACCACCAGTCCTGGCTAATTCTTTAATTTTGTGTAGATTGGGGTCTCGCTAAGTTACCCAGGCTGGTCTCAAACTCCTGGGCTCAAGCGATCCTCCCACCTTGGCCTCCCAAAATATTGGGATTATAGGCATAAGACAACTCACCAGGCCTAAAAATTAGTTTTTTTTAAATCCAACTTCCTACGTAAATTGTGTTACTACTTTGTAGGATGCTTACTTTTTCTTGAAGGTGTTTGATTTCCCCCATGAACCTGTCAGCATCTTGAGAGAAGGGACAATGAGTTATTTTTTTCTAATTGTACAGCTCAGCATTTTGACTAAATGAACAGCAATGCGTCTGAGGGTTGGCCTCCCGTGCTGAGGTCTTGTCAGTGGCTACCAGAGGCTATGCAAGCCCCTGCTCCAGCCAAGTGCTTCCCCTTCTCTCTCCAAGTGGATCCTAGATTGGCTGAATTTATGGACCTGTTCCTGGCCTTCCCAGGGATGTAAGATCCCCAGGAAAAGGCCATGACCTGGCTCATCATCAAATCGATTTCTTGCTTCTGATATTCTACTTCCATTGCCTGAACCTTTGGCCAGATATTTTGCCCCTTTGACACCGGTGCTTGGAATTGTTTTGTGGCTTACTCCCTCTCTTCAACTCTTGCAGGATCTCTGTCCCCTGAACACTAGCATTAGGTTTTGAAATGTTCTTGTAATCCTTGTATTCACTTCTTTTATGGCATATTTCTGATTCTCTGATATCATGCTACCATCATTAACTCAGTGTCTCCCCTGGCTTTGTGATAGCCACACTTTCTCTCTTTCTTTCGTCTCTCTCTCTCTCTCTCTCTCCCTCTCTCTCATCCATTCTCACCCCCTGGGTTCTCAACCTGACTCTCAAACCCCATTTTGTCCTGACTCCAACAATGATACATAAACTTATGAACTTCAGTGCAGGCAGACAGGTACGTAGAAGAACTTTGGATTCATCAACATTTTAATGAAATCCTGCCTCTTGCTCTTTGGAGGTATAACCTAACCTGGATGCCCAAAGGTAGCCATAGTGAAGAAATGTAAGGCCCCTAATAAACATCTATCCAGCCTCTGTGCTTAGCACTATGGATTTTATAACGACAAACCACAGACTTTACAAATCTTACAATCTAGGTCGCGTGCGGTGGCTCACACCTGTAATCCCAGCACTTTGGGAGGCCTGAGGCAGAAGAATTGCTGGAACCTGGAAGTCCGAGGTTGCAGTGAGCTGAGATCGAGCCACTGCACTCCAGCCTGGGCAACAGAGCGAGACTCCGTCTCAAAAAAAAAAAAGAAAAAAAAATATTGGCCGGGCACAGTGGCTCTCGCCTGTAATCCCAGCACTTTGGGAGGCTGAGGCAGGCAGATCACGAGGTCAAGAGATTGAGACCATCCTGGTCAACATGGTGAAACCCTGTCTCTACTAAAATATAAAAAATTAGCCAGGCGTGGTGGCTTGCACCTGTAGTCCCAGCTACTCGGGAGGCTGACGCAGGAGAATCACTTGAACCCAGGAGGTGGAGGTTGCAGTGAGGAGAGACTGCCACTGCCCTCCCACCTGGTGACAGAGCAAGATTCCATCTAAAAAACAAAAAAAACTTACAATCCAGAAAGAGAAGAAAGGCAGAAAACCATATGCAATGTGAGACAGTTCATGAACAAAACACAAATCTAGCGAGAAGTTTCAGAAAAGGGAGTGTTATGGGTTGAACTGTGTCCCCTTCTCATTATTCATACACTGGAGTATGAACACCGAGTCCCAATCCCCAGTACCTAGAATGCGACTTAATTTGGAAACAGGGTAATTGCAGATGTAATTGGTTAAGATTAGGTCATTCTGAAGTAGGGTGAGCCCTAATCCAAAATGATTGCAGTCCATATGAAAACGGGAAGGAAAGAGTCACCCATGCAGGGAGAATACCATGCGATGATGAAGACAGAGATCAGAGATGGTTTCAAATGAGTTTCCATATCTCATTGATATTAATAACGTCATTCCTGTGCTTTAAGGACTAACACTAGGAAATGCAACCAGGGCAGTTCTGAGACAGATGTCACAAAGCATGGGTTCAAGGAAAGAGGTCATGTTGATCTAGCTTTTTTTGTTTTTTTTTTGAGACATAGTCTTGCTCCGTCACCCAGACTGGAGTGCAGTGGCGCGATCTCGGCTCACTGCAACCTCGCCTCCCAGGGTCAAGCGATTCTCCTGCCGCAGCCTCCTGAATAGCTGGGATTACAGGCATGTGCCCTACGTCCAGCTAATTTTTGTATTTTTAGTAGAGACGGGGTTTCACCACGTTGGTCAGGCTGGTCTCAAACTCCTGACCTTGTGATCCACCCACCTCGGCCTCCCAAAGTGCTGGGATTACAGGCATGAGCCACCCTGCCCAGCCGATCTAGCTTTTCAAAAGTGGCAAAGCCACTTACCTCCTCAGTGCCTCAGTTTTGTCTATAAAAAGATAGCATCATCCCTACATTTTTTTTACTCTCTCAAAAATGTGATGAGGGTAAATGAGATGAGATTAAAAGATGTTTATGATGTGGGGAAATAATTTAAAAACAGATAGATACAGGCTTTGAGCAATAGAAACGCATGTGTGTGTGTGTGTGTGTGTTGTCTATGGATACACATATACATATCCATAAGTACGTGTGTGCCATTAGATGGCAGCAGGAAGCTAATTCATAACAAAGTCAGCTTCAGCCAAGTTTTTCCCTTTATCAGACAGATTTCCTGTGACTTGGTCTCACTGACTCAGTCTCAACAGGATTCTCTGTGAGTGTCTCTTTGTCTTCTCTTTCTCCCTCTCTCTTTCCTCTCTTTCTACCCTTTCTTCCTCTCTCCCCAACTTAAAGGAAACACCTTTTATTAAATTATGAAAAACGCCAAATGTTCACAAAAGAAGAATAGTACAATGAGCCATCAACCCAACACACAAATTCAACAAATTCTGCCATACTTGCTTCAACTATCCATCCAACCTTCTCTCCTTCTCTCCCTCCCCACTGAATTTTAAAGCAAATATCAGACTTCATGGTTTTCCACCTATATACTTCAATATGCATATGTAAAAATTATGTCCACATCCATACATAATCATAATGCCATTGTGAAACTTAATAACATTAATGATAATTTCTTAGAATCTTATCATGTCTCTTTTCAGTGCTTTGAAGCAAGAATGATGGCCATATTTTACATAATTTATAATTTATGAAATAGAATATTTGAATAATAAACCAATTCCATTTTGAAGGCTTCTGATGTAGTACTCTGTTAAAAAAAAAAAAAAAACTACTTGAGAAAAGTATGGATTGACTATATTGGAAGTTGCAAGGCCTGAGGAATGTTTTCCCGTGATTTTAGTCCCTCTCATCAGTGTTCTATGCCTCAGTTCTGGTAACCCCAGAATGACGCTGTTACCTGACAGTATTCTAATGAAGATTAAAGAAATGACATCTGTTAATCTTATTAAGTTCGCTGAGGCAGGATGAGGCTGGGTGCTGGTAAATGGAGCAGATAAATGATGTGAGGCATCTACACTTTATTTTTCATGTTGAAAAGTCATCATAGAGAAACTTTCTCCTTTGGTGCACGTACTAATACTTCAGAGCACGTATGAACTACGGTAGGTAGGAAAGTCGCACCAGAGACTACCTCTTAGTAACCTTAGCAGAAAATTACAGCGCAATGCCTACAGCCCTGGGAAGAGACACATATAAATCCATTTCACACCATGTAGAGCTTACATAACTGAATCAGAATTTTTTAAAAAGGAATCTGGTTGATAATTGTTCCAGAAGAAATCAACTCAATTTTTCAGTAAATACCAAAAACATTCATAAGACCTAGGTATTCTACTGTCAGCAATTTATACTAAGGAAACAAACATAGATGGAGGCAAAGATGCAGTTTCAAGGACGTGTGTCAGTGTTGTTTATAAAAACAAACTTTTAAAAAATAACCCTTAAATATGCAACAACAGAGATGGGTGAATAAATTGCATTATAGAACCATGATGGGATACTTTGTAGCTATTAAAAATCACCTGGTAGGAATACACTGATTAACACGTAAATGTTTTGACAATATCTTTAGTGAAAAAAGTCATGTTATAAGATAGTACAGGCCGGGCATGGTGACTCACGCCTGTAATCCCAGCACTTTGGGAGGCCGAGGCAGATGGATCACCTGAGGTCAGGAGTTTGAGACTGGCCTGGCCAACATGGTGAAACCCCATCTCTACTAAAAATACAAAAATTAGCCAGGCATGGTGGTGCGTGCCTATAATCCCAGCTACTCAGGAGGCTGAGGCAGGAGAATCGCTTGAACCCAGGAGGCAGAGGTTGCAGTGAAGTGAGCCGAGATCATGCCACTGCCCTCCAGCCTGGGTGACAGAGCGAGACTCCATCTCAAAAATAATAATAATAAAATAATATAATATAGTATAAAAGGCATCAATTCCTCTTTAGTTTAGCTGTATTTATACATGTGCATATATACCTGTACACACACACACACAGAAATGAGATTAGAAAGACATGGAGTAAACATAATGCTAACAGTAGTTATCTCTGTAAGCAGAATTATAAAAGTTTTTTTTTTTTTGCCTCTAGGTTTTTCTATAATGTGCATATAAAAATTAAGCAAAAAATATTTTTCTTTCAAAAATTTGACTATCAGATCTGGCAACATGGAAAAATGACCTAAAGTACAATGCCACATACTATAAACACAAAGAAATAACAGATACAAGGAAAATAGAAAGAAAAGCAAATCCCTTAGCAACATGGAAGGAATACAGATTGGGATGCACGTTAATTAACAAAGCAGCTGCTCACAGTTGAAGGCAAGGTGGAGATGAGGTCAGTATTCCCTGATAACAAACCAGACAAAGATGAATACTAACACAAAAATCCTCAACAACATACTAGCAAACTGAATCCAGCACATAAAAAGGATTATACGTCATGACCAAGTGAAATTGATCCCAGTCATGTGATATTTGAATATCCCATGTCAAGAGAAGAAAGGACAAAAACTGTATGATCATTGCAACAGATGCAGAAGCACATGATAAAATCCAACAATCTTTCAGAACTGTAAATTATCTGGGTGATGGGGTGTGTGAAGATCATCTGTGTTATACTGTAATAGCTGCTAGAGTAATCTCACACACACCAATAAGGAACTGTCACCATAATTAAGGGCTAGTTACTGTTGTTAGTTGCACAATGATGAAGTTCTTTTGAAAATATTGGTTAGCCCACTTATATGTGAAAAATGCCCTTTCCACTTATACACAAGAAAAAAATATTCAGAAAGTTATTTTTGGCCTTGCTATGTCAAAAAGTCAAGTGTACAAAGATCTATGTGTTAAACCTAAAACTATAATTTTAAAAGTCTATTAAAAACAAAAATGTCATGCATTTTTATTATCAGTTATGCAGAGGCTTTAAAACTGTTGCAAGACCATACAGTATATATTAGCTTTTATACTGCCAATGCACAACTAACAGCTATAAAGTATTACTGATAAAAAATTAAGATTACCTAAGGAAAAAAACAGAAAATTATTTAGTGTGGCCATCTTACATGCTTAGGTCTCCTACACAAAGCTAAATATTCTAGCAGTGATGTAATGAAAAATTACATCTTACTGTTGATATATGTATGCTCTGGGACACAGATGTCATTTTGTTGTCACAGCACTACAGTGAAATACACAAAAAATGAAATTCATATAATGACTTAAATGTATTATATGTTAGAATTGACAACATAAACTAATTTTGCTTTGAAATGATGTATGCTTCAGTAAAATCATATTCAAATTAAAAAAAAATCCAACAGTCTTTCATGATAAAATGCTCAACTAACTAGGACCGGAAGGGAACTTCCTCAACCTGATAAAGGGTATCTATGAAAAACCCACAGATAACATCATAATTAAAAGACTAAAAGCTTTCTCCCTAAGATCAGGAACAAGACAAGGATGCCTGCTTTTGCCACTTCTGTTCAACATTGTACTGGAGGTTCTAGACAGAGCAATTAGGTTAGAGACAAAAATAAAAGGCATCAAGATTGGAAAGGAAGTAAAGCTATCTGTATTTGCAGATGACATGATTTTGTATGTAGTAAACCCTAAGGAATCTGCTTTAAAAAAAAAAAACTATTAGAATAGGCCAGGGGTGGTAGCTTACGCCTGTAATTCCAGGACTTTGGGAGGCCAAGGCAGGTGGATCACTTGAGGTCAGGAGTTCGAGACCAGCCTCGCCAAAATGGTGAAACTCTGTTTCTACTAAAAATACAAAAATAAGCTGGGTGTGGTGGCGTATGCCTGCAGTCCCAGCTACTTGGTGGGGCTGAGGCACGAGAATTGCTTGAATCAGGGAGGCGGAGGTTGCAGTGAGCCAAGATATCACCACTCCACTTCAGCCTGGGTAACGGAGTGAGACTCTGTCTCAAAAAAACACAAACAACAACAACAACAACAAAACTAGGCTGGGCACGGCGGCTCACGCCTGTAATCCCAGCACTTTGGGAGGCTGAGACTGGCAGATCACCTGAGGTTGGGAGTTCAAGACCAGCCTGACCAACATGGAGAAACCCCGTCTCTACTAAAAATACAAAAATTAGCCGGGCATGGTGGCACATGCCTGTAATCCCAGCTACTTGGGAGGCTGAGGCAGGAGAATCACTTGAACCTGGGAGGTGGAGGTTGCAGTGAGCCGAAATTGTGCCATTGCACTCCAGCCTGGGCAACAAGAGTGAGACTCCATCTCAAAAACAAACAAACAAACAAAAAACTATTAAAATAAACAAGAACACTGCCCATGAATGTTCACAGCATTATTCATAAGAGCCAAAAAAGTGGAAACAACCCAAATGTCCATCAACTGATGAATGAATAAAGAAAATGTGGTGTATCCATATGACAGAATATTACTCGGCAATAAAAAGAAATGAAGCACTGATACTCGCTGCAACATGGATGAACCTTGAAAACGTGCTAATTGAAAGAAGCATGCTAGTTGAAACATGCTCACTGAAAGAAACATGCTAGGCCGGGCACGGTGGCTCACGCCTGTAATCCCAGCACTTTGGGAGGCCGAGACGGGTGGATCACGAGGTCAGGAGATTGAGACCATCCTGGCTAACACGGTGAAACCCTGTCTCTACTAAAAAATAAAAAAACATTAGCCGGGCGCCGTGGTGGGCAGCTGTAGTCCCAGCTACTCGGAAGGCTGAGGCAGGAGAATGGCAGGAACCCAGTAATTGAAAGAATGGAATTTTATGATTCCATTACATGAAATGTCCATAACAGGCAAATATGTACATATAGAAAGTCGATTAGTTGTTGCCTAAGGCCACGGGGGTGGGGGGCGGTTAAGGGTAATTGAGAGTGGCAGGTAATGGATACTGGTGTCCAAATTTTGGTGGCATCAAAATTTCTCTATAAAAAGGACAACATACTCTCAACCATAGACCAGGAGAAGCTATCAGTAAAGAACTACAAAAAGGAGAGAAGGGGGAAAGAGCAGTTTGGAGAAAGACAATCTAATAGAAAAATGTCAAGAATATAAGGGCAAGTAATATATAGACAAAATCTGGGTGGCAAAAGTTTTCATTGTAAAGATATTCACTATTAGATTAAACCTCATTAAATTGCCAATACTTGATAGTTTTAGCTCACAAAAATGCGATCTCATATAGGTAAAATTAGTAGCAGTAGGAAAATTAAAAATTAAGCGATACTGTCAGCCAAATGTGGTGGCTCGAGTCCATAATTCCAACACTTTGGGAGGCCAAGGCGGGAGGATCACTTGACGTCACGAGTTCAAGACTAGCCTGGGCAACATGGTGAGACTTCATCTCTATAAAAAATAAGAAAATTAGCCAGGCACAGTGGCCTGTGCCTATAGTCCCAGCTACTAGGTAGGTAGAGGCAGGAGGATGGCTTGAGCCCAGGAGTCTGAGACTGCAGTGAGCTATGATCACACCACTGCGCTCCAGCCTGGGCAACAGAGCGAGACCCTGTTTCCCAAAAAAAAAAAAAAAACCATTAAAAATCCATTAGATTGACCATCAGGACTCACAAAATTATGTGGAAACATAAACTATTAGACAGTTGTAGAAGAAAGCTTAGATTGGTAAAAGCACTTTGGCAATATCTAATAAAGTGGAACATACGTATACCCCTAAGACCAAGCAACTTCACTCCTTCATAATCTTCCTAGAGAAATTCTTACATAGGTACACAAGGAGATAAGCCAAAGATATTGTATTACCCAGAGTTCTCCAGAGAAACAGAACCAGAACCAATAGAGAGAGAGAGAGAGAGAGAGAGAGAGAGAGTGTGTGTGTGTGTGTGTGTGTGTGTGTGTGTGTTTAATTATAAGGAATTGGCTCACAGGATTACAGAGGTTGAGAAGTCCCAAGATAGGCAGGTGGCAGGCTGGAGACCCAGGAGAACCATTGTTCAAGTCCAAAGGCCTGAGAACCAGAATAGCTGATGTTATTAATACTAAAAGCCACGAGGCTCCAGACCCAGGAGCTGATGTTTCAGTCTGAGTTTTTTTGTTTGTTTGTTTTTTGAGGCAGAGTTTTGCTCTTGTTGCCCAAGCTGGAGTACAATGGTGTGATCTTGGCTCACTGCAATTTCTGCCTCCCAGGTTCAGGTGATTCTCCTGCCTCAGCCTCCCAAAGTAGCTGGGATTACAGGTACCCGCCACCACGCCCAGCTATTTTTTGTATTTTTAGTAGAGATGGGGTTTCACCATGTTGGCCAGGCTGGTCTTGAATTCCTGACCTCAGGGGATCCACCTGCCTCAGCCTCCCAAAGTGTGGGGATTACAGGCATGAGCCACCACGCCCGGCCAGTCTGAGTCTTAAGGCCAGAAAAGACCAATGTCTCAAGCAGCCAGAGAAGAGGAGTTCCCTCTTACTTAGCTTTTGTGTTCTATTCGGGTCTTCGATTGATGAGCTGAGGTCCACCCACATTAGGAAGGGCAATCTGCTGTATTCAGTCTGCCAATCCAAATGCTAATCTCATCTGGGAACACCCTCACAGGCACACCCAGAGTAATGTTTGGTCAAAAGCTTGGGTGCCCGTAATCCAGTCAAGTGGACACATAAAATTAACCATCACAGATACTCACTTCAGTATTGTTTATAGTATCAAAAACTTGGGCCAGCCATGGTGGCTCACACCTGTAATCCTAGCACTTTGGGAGGCTGAGGCGGGTGGGTCATCTGAGGTCAGGAATTCAAGACCAGCCTGGCCAACATGGTGAAACCCCACCTCTACTAAAAATACCAAAAAAAAAAAAAAAAAAATTAGCCGAGCATGGTGGCAGGTGCCTGAAATCCCAGCTACTTGGGAGGCTGAAGCAGGAGAATCACTTGAACCCGGGGGACAGAGGTTGCAGTGAGTTGAGATCACACCACACCACTTCATTCCAGCCTGGGCGAAAGAGCGAGACTCTGTCTCAAAAAATAAATAAATAAATGAATAAATAAATAAATAAATAAATAACTTGGACATAATCTAATTGTCTATTTATTCTACAAATACTCACTAGGCACGCATATGCCAGGGACCATTCAACATGTTTGGGATACACCAGTGAGTAAAAAAGACAAACATTCCTCTCCTTGGCGAGGTTACATATTAATTAAAGAAGACAAACAATAAGCCTAATACATACGTATGGTACGTATTACTTACGTAATACAGGAAAGCTACTTTCCACAACTTCAAGGATACCATTCATATTATGTTCTATGTAAATGCCACCCTCTGCAAATACGTAAGGCAGTAGTGGGGTGGGGAGTGGGTGGCCAGTGACAATTTAAATTAGAAGATCAAAGTAGGCATTATTAAGTAGGTGACACAGCACAAACTTAAAAGAGATGAGGGAATTATTGTGCAGATATCTGGAGGAAAGAGCAAACCAGGTAGAAGAACCAGACTGTGTAAAGATCCAAAAGCTGGAGGCTGGTGAGACTGTGAAGAGAGCCAAGGGGAGAGGGTTACAATAAGATGAAGTGGAGCAAGGGGTAGATGATACAGTCATGTGGGCCACTGTAAGGACTTGTGGGCTTTTTAGTCTGAATGAATGAGCAGCCATTACAGAGGTTTAAACAGAGGAGCAAAGTGATCTGACTGCATGTTAAAGGGATCACTCTGGCTACACTTACGGGGAAGCAAGGATGGAAGCAGGAAGCCACTGCAGTAATTCAAGTGAGAAATGGTGATGGCTTGGGCCAGAATGATAACAACAGTGTTGGGTTCTAGATATATTTTGAATATAGAGCCTATAAAAATCCTGACAGATTGGATGTGGAATGAGAGTTAAAGAGAAGACTCAAGGATAACTCATATTATGCCTGATCACCTGGAAGGATGAAGTTGCCATCAACTGAGAAGCGTGTAACCCACGGAGCAGGGTTTTTAAAAATTTTTATTTATTTATTTTTGAGACGGAGTCTCGCTCTGTCACCCACACTGGAGTGCAGTGGTGGGATATTGGCTCACTGCAACCTCTGCCTCCTGGGTTCAAGCAATTCTCCTGCCTCAGCTTCCTGAGAAGTTGGGATTACAGGCATGCACCACCACATCCAGCTAATTTTTGTATTTTTAGTAGAGACAGGGTTTCACCATGTTGGCCAGGCTGGTCTCAAGCTCTCGACGTCAGGTGATCCACCCACCTCGGCCTCCCAAAGTGCTGGAATTACAGGCATGAGCCACTGTGCCCAGCCATGGAGCAGGTTTGAGGGGAGAAGACAAGCTGAGTTCTGAACATGTTTACTTTACAGGTATACTACACATTCATATGAAAATGCTGAATTGGGAATTAGGCATCTTGAGTTCTGAATTGGAAATTAGACAGGCATCTTGAAGAGATATCTGAGCTAGAGTTGTTCAGTGTATAGACAGTATTTTTTTTTAAATAGAGATGGGGCCTATGTTGCCTAGGCCAGATTACAATGGCTATTTACAGGCAAGATCATAGTGCACCACAGGCTCAAACTCCTGAGCTCAAGGGATCTTCCTGCCTCAACTTCCCAAGTAGCTGGGACTGCAGGTACACCACCACTCCCAACTAGATAGTATTTAAATCCATGAGACTGTATAAGACCACTAAGGGGTCTGATGTAGCTAGAGATGAGATTCAAGGATTGAGCCTTATTAGAAGGTTAAGGCCATGAGAAGGAACCAGTAAAGGAGACTGAGAAGCAGCTAGTGAGACAGGAGAAAGACCAAGAGTATGGTGTCTGGAAGCAACTGGAAAAGTGTCAAGGAGGAAGGAAGGGCCACCCATGTCAAATGCTGCTGACAGGTTGAATAAGATAAGGACAACAGCTTAAATACTGGACTACACAATAAAAGACATCTTGAGAAGAGCAGTTCTGATGAAATGTAAGAGACAAAAGTCTGAGCGAGTTCAAGAGAGAATGAGAGGAGAATCGGATTTGGAAAGTACATATATCTCAGGCTTTGTTGCAAAGGGGAGCAAGGAAATACAGAAGACAGTTGACAGTGAAAAGGGGAAGATAAAAGGGTTTTAAGATAGGCAAAATGAAAGTGTTTATATGCTAGCAGGGAGCTGCAATATAAAGAAAAAAAAATGATCATTCAGGATAGAAGTGAGAATTGCTACAGTAGTTCTTGAATAGGTAAGAGTAGGACCTAATTCACAAGTGGAGAGGTTGCCTTTAGAGAAAAGCACGAATACTGGTAGGCAAGAAGGCAGAGTCTGTGAGTGCAGGTGTTGGTAGGTCAGTAGATGTGATAAGATTGTGGAAATTCTCCCCCTTGTTACTTGGATTCTCTTAGCCATTAGCCAAAAGGGAGGGTGGGGAGGAGGAATGGGAGTTAGATGAAAGAGGAGACAATGTAAAATATGAAATAGTCATCAATGAGAGAGGAAGAATGAATAGACTAAGGAAACACAGAATTATGGTCAGGTAGTATTCGAGACCCACAAGAAATTCATGGTCATAAAGTTAAAATGGGGCCAGTCAGTGTGGTTGTCTATTTTTCCTTTATTTTCTTCAGTGTCAAAGGGGCAGGGAGTAGCTGGAGGATGGATTTAATCTGGGCTGTAGTTTTTCCAATGTGTATGATGAAGTAAGAGGGGAGTAAGGGAGTTGAAGACGTATGAAAGGAGTGGTAATGACTGCAATGGAATTGAAGCTAGGTTATAAAAGAGACTGCAGAGGGGTTAATGAGCAGATGAAAGGTAATAGGATCAACGGAGTTAAGGTCCCAATGGGGTCAAAGGACTGTTGAAGCTGGGATACTGGAAAGGGCTAAACTTGAAATATGAGAAGTGATAAACAGAATGGATGCATAAAATTGAGAATATGAATTGGTAATGTCAGGGTAATGGTAAGGTCTTGAGTATAATCATGAGAATGAGTAGCAGGAGCTACACTCATCAAGAAAGAAGAGTGTGGCCAGGCGCAGTGGCTCATGCCTGTAATCCCAGCACTTTGGGAGGTGGAAGCAGGTGGATCACTTGAGGTCAGGAGTTTGGGACCAGCTTGGCCAACATGGTGAAACCCCGTCTCTACTAAAAATAGAAAAATTAGCCATGAGCCATGGTGGCTCATGCCTGTAATCCCAGCTACTTGGGAGGCTGAGGCAGGAGAATTGCTTCAATCAAGGAGGCAGAAGTTGCAGTGGGACGGGATCATGCCACTGCACTCCAGCCTGGGCAACAGAAAGGAGGGAGAGTAGTCTGGGGTACATCAGATTACAGCAGAAGGGAAACTGATAAACTGGTCTTTCAGTTTATGTGAGTGCAAGTGATAAACCGATAAAATGATTTATCAATTAAATTGATAAATGGATTAACTAGAATTGTCAGCTAAAATGGATTAACTAGAATTACACACATTGATGCATATAAATCTCAAAAACACTAATATTGAATGAAAAAAATCAGTTGCAAAAAGATATGTACACTATTTATATGTAAATTTTAAAACCAAACAAAACATAAACTGTTAATGGGTAGACAGTTATACAGTAAAAACACGAAAATGTGTATCAGAAAAATATATATTTCAATTTCTAGTTGGTAGTTGCCTCTGGAGATGGCAGGGTTGGAGTCAGATTCCGTAACATTTTAATTCTTTAAAAATAGCCTGAAATAAATGTGGTTTTAAGAAGTTTAAAGCAACTAGTTGTGGATACTTAGGAAACAAAGTTTCCTGTGTATTCTCACTGTAAGCTCATGACCATGAATTTCTTGTGGGTCTCTTACAAGGCTTCATATGATCTAACTCAAGATCAGGAAGTGATTCCAGCAGCTATTCTCACTGTTTGCTAAAGTTTCTGGGCCGGGCGGGGTGGTTCACGCCTGTAATCCCAGCACTTTGGGAGGCCGAGGGGGTGGCTCACAAGGTCAAGAGATAGAGACTATCCTGGCTAACATGGTGAAACCTCACCTCTACTAAAAATATAAAAAATTGGCCAGGCGTGGTGGCACGCGCCTGTAGTCCCAGCTATTCGGGAGGCTGAGACAGGAGAATTGCTTGAACCAGGGAGGCAGAGGTTGCAATGAGCAGAGATCCCACCACTGCACTCCAGCAACAGAGCAAGACTCCATCTCAAAAAAAAAAAAAAAAGACAAAGTTTCTGGCTTCTCTGGTCTACCTTTCACAAACCTACATCTTTTTTCATCTCAAATCATCCTTAGAAAAGATTGAAACAAGATTAATAATAATAATACCAACATTATCTTTGGTTTTAAGCTCTTTACATCATAGAAAACCTAACAAATGTGCCACCTGTATTTTCAGGCTTGCTCACTGATTCCCTTTTGAAAGAAAGGGACCCAACAAACACTATTGTCAATTTGTATGTATTTTTCTAGAGATACTCTGTGCGTTTTAAAAACATACATATTTTTAATTTTTTTCACACAGTTGTGACATATACAAAATTTGATTTAGTTAAAATAGCTTGGATATCTTTTCATAACCATACATTTAGAGCTGTCTCATTTTTTTTTTTTGAGAAGGAGTTTTGCTCTTGTTGCCCAGGCTCGAGTGCAATGGCGTGATCTCAGCTCACTGCAACCTCCACCTCCCAGGTTCAAATGATTCTCCTGCCTCAACCACCCGAGAAGCTGGGATTACAGGTGCGTGCCACCACACCTGGCTGATTTTTGTATTTTTAGTAGAAACGGGGTTTCACTATGTTGGCCAGGCTGGTCTCAAACACCTGACCTCAGGTGATCCTCCCACCTTGGCCTCCCAAAGTGCTGGGTTTACAGGTGTGAGCCACCACGCCTGGCCTGTCTCATTCTTTTTAATGGCTTTACAGCATTTAATTTATAGTTATGCCATAAATTATCTAACTTGTTCTCCATGGAAGGATATTTATATTTCAGACTTTCTGATACTTGAAACAATGCTGTAATGAGTAGTTTTTGAATACATAAATTCACAAAGGTATGAATACACTTGGTAGATATTGCCAAAATCCCTCCATATAGATCAACATTGATTTCCACTTTTCACAGCAGCATGAGTGCCCATTTCTCCCAGGTCAACAGAGTGTTCTTGAGCTTCAAACTGTACCCCATCTGATAAAAGTGGTAATATAGTTTAAATCTGTATTTCTCTTATTATGAGAGAGATCAGCCATCTTTTCCTACGCTTAAGAACCATTTGTATTTTATATCTGAAAACTCTGTCAGCATTCAGTCAGGAAAACAGAAGGCACTCAAGTATTACACTCAGGAAAGGATTGAACCCAGGTGCTTCCAAAACACTGGAAGGGCTGGAGGAAAGGAAGGTCAGGGAAAGCTGCCAGTGAGTGCAGGAAATCAAGAAGTCGCAGGAATTGCAGGAAATCACAGCTGATGATCTCAGCTGCCTGCAGCACTGAAGCAGGTGATTAACAAAATGCAGAAGGTCCTGCAGAACCTCACGTATGCCGTCTGAACAAGCCTACATACGCCTGCCCGCTGGCTGAAGGAATAAGGGCTTGTTTCTCTTTTGCCTTCCAAATAGTACACGTGCCTCTCATTAGTAGAATGAAAATAAACCCTCTTAGCAAGAAAATCAAGGAAGTGTGGTTTCCAGGCTTCCAGCTCCTACAATAGAGTTTGGAAAGCAAGTCTGAAGTTGAGTATCAATGGCCAATGCCCAGCACAGTCCATCCTTTTGGTTACTTGGCACTCATACACTCCCTGCTAGCAAGGTTTAAACTTCCAAACATCACCTAATGTGACGTAATTGGGGCATGATAAACTTTTTGCTAAAGGAGACAGACAAAGTCCTGTCAGTTCCTATCTCCATCTCTGATATTTATTCCTTTTAGTGCAACACAACTCGCCTTTGCCATACTATAACTTGAAGGCTAAATTAAAAGGTTAACCAACACTAAACACCCTATATAAAAACAACAGAGCCGGGCATGGTGGCTCACGCCTGTAAACCCAGCACTTTGGGAGGCCGAGGCGGGCGAATCACCTGAGGTCGAGAGTTCAAGACCAGCCTGACTAACACAGAGAAACCTCGTCTCTACTAAAAATACAAAATTAGCTGGGCGTGGTGGCGCATGCCTGTAATCCCAGCTACTTGGGAGGCTGAGGCAGGAGAATCGCTTGAACCCGGGAGGCGGAGGTTGCAGTGAGCCGAGATCGCACCACTGCACTCCAGCCTGGACAACAAGAGTGAACTCCGTCTCAAAAAACAAAACAAAACAAAAACGAACAAACAAAAAAAAAACAGAGTAAAAAGGGAGGGAGGAAAAGACACAAATGGCCAATATATAAAATATACGTATTACAAAGCGAGGAGAAAATAAGCATTGTGGCTAATGTCCTTGTTTCTGCATCTACTCCTGAGGTGATAGTTGATATTTATGATTTCCTTCTACTACCCATCCTATGTTCCCTTTCTCTGTAGTCAAAACTTCAGTTAATTGAGGGTTTTATTTAACTGGTGGGTGACCCAAATCTTCATTCCTGAAGAGGCAGTGCCATTAGGATTCTGCCTGTTTGGTGTTGCTAGTCTTTTATCCATTTTACCTCCATACATGAAGTACTAAGAAGTGTCCCAGAGAAACTCCTGTGTGTGTGCATGTGTGTGTGTGATATCAGGTAGACAAAGGCAGCCTTAGAGGCTTTTGTGGGCATTATGGATATGGAAAAAAGTTTTGTATTTTGAGTTCTGTGTTTTTATGTCACCCAGATATTGTTCTGTCATGTTTCTTTCTTTTTTTTTTTTTATACTTTAAGTTTTACGTACATGTGCACATTGTGCAGGTTAGTTACATATGTATACATGTGCCATGCTGGTGTGCTGCACCCACTAACTCGTCATCTACCATTAGGTATATCTCCCAATGCTATCCCTCCCCCCTCCCCCCACCCCACCACAGTTCCCAGAGTGTGATATTCCCCTTCCTGTGACCATGTGATCTCATTGTTCAGTTCCCACCTATGAGAATATGCGGTGTTTGGTTTTTTGTTCTTGCGATAGTTTACTGAGAATGATGATTTCCAATTTCATCCATGTCCCTACAAAGGACATGAACTCATCATTTTTTATGGCTGCATAGTATTCCATGGTGTATATGTGCCACATTTTCTTAATCCAGTCTATCATTGTTGGACATTTGGGTTGGTTCGAAGTCTTTGCTATTGTGAATAATGCCTCTGTCATGTTTCTTAAAGCAACAGTTAGGATTTGGAAAATGCAACTGCTTATATTATTCAAAAGATCATTGACAATGGTTACAAACAAGACCTTCCCAGAAAAAAAGTAGACCAGTAAGGATGACTTTTATCTTAAAATCTGAAGATGATATAACTAAAAATTAACTATAGATAGTCCTTTTATTCTGCAAAGGCAAAAAAAAAATTTTTTTCTTGAGACATACAATTATATATAGATAGAAAATCAGAATATGTAATCTCTGAATTAAAATCAGTGTGACTCTATAAAATGAGAACTTTAGGGGAATGAGGTGCTACAACTATGGAACACTCGTTCAAGAGAACTTCATTCATTGTCTTAAAAACATACAAAAGAAAATCCAAATGCTACATAAATCCTGAGAACTGCTTCATCTAGTTAAAATCCTAATAGGTTTGGAAAGCCTTTGATGGTGCATGGGACCTTAAGAAATCATCTATGTGATGGCTAATACTGAATGTCAACTTGATTGGATTGAAGATTACAAAGTATTGATCTTGGGTGTGTCTGTGGGGGTGTTGCCAAAGGAGAGTAACATTTCAGTCAGTGGCTGGGAAAGGCAGACCCACCCTTAAATCTGGGTGGGCACCATCTAATCAGCTGCTAGCTCGGCTAGAATATAAGCAGGCAGAAAAATGTGAAAGGAGAGACTGGCCTAGCCTCCCAGCCTACATCTTTTCTGTTGTACTGGATGCTTCTCACCCTTGAACATTGGACTCCAAGTTCTTCAGTTTTGGAACACAGATTGGCTCTCCCTGCTCCTCATCCTGCAGACGGTCTATTGTGGGATCTTGTGATCGTGTGAGTTAATACTTAACTCTCTCTCTCTCTCTCTATATATATATATTCCATTAGTTCTGTCCTTCTAGAGAACCCTAACCCTAATACAATCTATACCAGGTGATTCTTAAGTCTTAAGTCAAAAATCCATTTCAGAAAGATATGAAAGCCATGAATGTTTCTCTATAGAGAAACACTCTAACGCTGGGGACGGTGGCTCACGCCTGTAATCCCAGCACTTTGGGAGGCTGAGGTGGGTGGATCACCTGAGGTCAGGAGTTCAAGACCAGCCTGCACAACATGGTGAAACCCCACCTCTACTAAAAATACAAAAACTAGCAGGGTGTAGTGGTGTGCGCCTGTAGTCCCAGCTACTCGGGAGGCTGAGACAAGGGTTCTTAATCTGGGTTCCAGCAACATAGTTTTAGAGCATCCATAGATGAATTTCAGAGGATCCATGAATCTCCTTACATTATATGCAAAATATAATCACATATGATTATGCATTATATATAATTGTGGGTATAGTCTATTGAATGAAGTATATTCCTGGGAGGCTGTGGCAAGAGGATCACTTGAGCTTGGGGGTCTGAGACCAGCCTGGGCAACATAGCAAGACCTTGTCTCTACAAAAAAGAAAAGAAGGCTGGGTGTGGTGACTCATACCTGTTATCCCAGCCCTTTGGGAGGCCGAGACGGGTGGATCACCTGAGGTCAGGAGCTCGAGACTAGCCTGACCAATATGGTGAAACCCCATCTCTACTAAAAATACAAAAACTAGCAGGGTGTAGTGGTGTGCACCTGTATTCCCAGCTACTAGGGAGGCTGAGACAGGAGGATTGCTTGAACCCAGAAGGCGGAGGTTGCAGTGAGCCGAGATCGCACCACTGCCCATTTTTACTTCTGTATGGTTGGTAGTAACGTTCCCTCGTTCATTCCTGATCTTAGTAATTTGAGTCTTTTTCTCTTCATCAGTTTAGCCAAAGGTTAATTTTGTTGATCTTCACGAAGAGTCAACTTTTGGTTTTGTTGCTATTCTCAATTATTTATTATTATTATTTTTGGATGGAGTCTCGCTCTGTCACCCAGGCTGGAGTGCAGTGGCTCACTGCAACCTCCGCCTCCTGGGTTCAAGAGATTCTCCTGCCTCAGCCTCCCAAGTAGCTAGGAATACAGGCACATGCCACCACACCCAACTAACTTTTGTATTTTTTAGTAGAGACAAGGTGTCGCCATGTTGGCCAGACTGGTCTCGAGCTCCTGACCTCAGGTGATCCACCGGCCTCGGCCTCCCAAGTGCTGGGATTACAGGTGTGAGCTGCCACACCCAGCCCTCAATTGTTTTTCTCTTCTGTATTTCGTATTTCTGCTAAAATCTTTATTACCTTTCTTCTGCTTCTTTTGTGGTTTACTTTGCCCTTCTTTTTCTAATTTCTTAAGGCTGAAGTTTAGCTTATTAATTTGAAACCTTCTTTAAATGCAGGCATTTAAAGCTATAAAGTTCTATCTCAACACAGCTCCACTGCATCCCATATGCTATTGTATATCAACTTTTTCTTTCCATTCACCCCCAAGTATTTTCTAATTTCCCTGTGATTTCATCTTTGATCCACTGGTTACTTAGGAGTACATTGTTTAACTTCCACCTATTAGTAAATTATACCACTTTCCTTCTATTGATTTATAGTTTCATTCCATTGTGGTAAGAGAACACATTTTGTATGATTTCAGTATTTTTAAGTTTATTGAGATGTTTTGTGGTCTGAAATTTTGCAAAGAATGTTTCATGTGCACTTGAGAAAAATATGCATTCTGCTGTTCAGTGGAGTGTTCTGTATATATGTCTGTTAAATCCAATTGGTCTACAGAGTGGTTCAAGTTCCTTACTGATCTTCTGTCATGGTGTCCTAGCCATTGGAAGTGGGGTACTGAAATCTACAATGATTACTGTTGAATTGTCTATTTCTCTCCACTTAAATTTTGCTTTATGTATTTTGGGGCTCTGTTAGAAATATGTGTGTACACGTATATACACACGTATATAATTGGTACGTATTCTTGATGGGTTGAGTGTTTTATTGTATGTTGTTTCTGGCAAAAAATAATTTTCTTGAAGTCTATTTTGTTGGATATTATTCATATAACCACTCTAGCTCTCTTTCGGTTATTGTTTGCATGGAGTATCTTTTTCCATCCTTTTACTTTCAATCTACTTGTGTGTCTGAATCTAAAGTAACTCTTATGTAGACATAAAGGGACTGAATTTTCAAATCTGTTCTGCCAATCTAATTTAAATATCATCTTTCTTTGAGACACCTTCAAAAAGCCCCAGCGCACTCAATGTGTACTTTAAAAATCACTGATGTAGGCTGCGCGCAGTGGCTCACGCCTGTAATCCCAGCACTTTGGGAGGCTGAAGTGAGAGGATCACTTGAGGTCAGGTGTTTGAGACCAACCTGGCCAACATGATGAAAATGCCATCTCTACTAAAAATAGAAAATTAGCCAGGCATGGTGGCATGTGCTTGTAATCCCAGCTACTCGGGAGGCTGAGGAAGGAAAATCGCTTGAACCCAGGAAGTGGAGGCTGAAGTGAGCCAAGATCATGCCACTGCACTCCAGTCTGGGCAATAGAGAGAGACTAAGTCTAAAAAAATAAAAAAATTCACTGATGTAATACATGCTGGAAATTATTTATGAAAGAACCCAATATTCTTTCAGAATTTTGTCAGTAACTTACCATGTGACCTAGAACCAGTTTCTTTTTCTATTAAAGATGAAAACTGTTACCACACATGATGCCATCATAGTAAGTATTTTTAAAAGTGAGACTCAGAGTTGGCGTAACACCCACAGTATTAGTATGACATGAACTGTGGAGATATATCAGTAGCAATGGCACCAACTCACCTGTAGTGAGTTGACTACAGGTGAGTTGCAAAACCAAAAAACCCACCATCACTAACACGAACAAACAAAAAAACAGAATTTACTAGGCATGTCCATGTTTTATTTTCTTTAGGTGTTTTTCTGGAAAATTACATTTTCAAGGAATCAGCCCTTACAAACAGAGCTAATCTTTCAAAAAATAAAACCCAGTATCTAGATTCTCAAAACTTACAAAACCAACTGGAAATGTCTGGTTGTCATGCTCAATTCAGTTTCACATCACAAGTAATCATCTATAACTATTTCAGTAGGCAAATTCCAATTCTAAATATTACTAACGATTACCATTGTTATTCTCAACTGTGTTGACAATTGTCTTATTGCTGAATTGTTCATAATACATCTTCTTTGGCAACTTTATTAACACCATGGGACAACTAAAGGTCTGGATTAACTTAGTATTTCAAAACTTCATTATAATTATTTAAAAGTAAATGCTAGACTTAAATTATTTAAATTTAAATGCTAGATTTAAATTATTTAATTTTAATAAAATTTAAATTTAAATGCTAGAATAGGAAAGCCTCCAAACATGCCTAATATAACAAAAACAAAAATTGCTAAATAATCACTACTAAAAGCATTTCCATTGTATGTACAAGTATATAACTCAACTTTACCAACAAAAATATTATAATTTAGCTCCAATTCTCTATCAGACCTACTGTGATTAAAAAAAAACAAAAAATAAATGGAGAAAGCAACATCTGGGCACCTGTCAAATTTTTATGGAAGGTTGTTTTATATAAATTTTAAATGGCTTAAAATCAGCCAGAATGCGAATTTTTCACTATAATACTTTATAAACTTGTACTTTCTTTTTTCTTTCTTTCTTTTTTTGAGATGGAGTCTTGCTCTGTTACCCAGGCTGGAGTGCAGTGGCGCAATCTCGGCTCACTGCAACCTCTGCCTCCCAGGTTCAAGCGAGTCTCCTGCCTCAGCCTCCCAAGTAGCTGGGATTACAGGCACATACCACCATATCCAGCTAATTTTTGTATTTCTAGTAGAGACGAGGTTTCGCCACGTTGGTCAGGCTGGTCTTGATCTCTTGACCTCGTGATCTGCCTACCTCGGCCTCCCAAAGTGCTGGGATTACAGGCGTGAGCCACCACGCCCAGCCTAAACTTGTACTTAAATTATATATTGATAGCTTATTCATTTTTAATTCTTGTTCCATGGAATAAGCCTATTTTTGAGGCTTGGCACGATATTAACAAGAAATTTAAACAGGACGCTCATGTCCAGAAGTTTAACTAAAAAATCTTTTCTATATATAATATAACTACCAACTTAAATTACAAATTGCTTCCACTAAAAATTATCACTCCAAACTTCAGAAAAAGTAAATTAAAATAGGTTATGGCAAAAGGTACACTCTGAAGCATGTTCACATTACAAAGATAAATGATAAAGGTTAACCAGCAAAAATTCAAAAAGGCATATATGCAAACATCTGTATGCAAACTTTCATGAATAAGATATAAGAAATGATTCATTTGGCTAATTTTATGTACAGCTTGTATACAATTTAAAACAAGTACAACTGAATATGTTTCTATGTAAAAGCCACAATAAAGTTAAATGAAATACTAAATAAGTCTTACAAATTGGTCTCTTAGGAGTTCTCAAAAGAATTAGTAACTGAGTAACGTTAGATTCTAAGAAATGCCCTCTTCTTGATCTATCATTTCTGTTTTAACTGAAAACACATCTGCCAACATATGTTTTGGAATTTCTGACCCTCTGACTTTCAAGGCATAACAAGCATTCTCCACTTTGGCCAAACTTTGTTTCAAGGTATACAGCTTCTTAGAAACCTCGTAAGGTCCAGTGTTGCCAATGAATGAAAACCCATCATAAACCTGACGTAAAAACTGGCTCACTTCAAAGGGGGTATCAATGTCCCCATTCCCCACACTGTTAATACACATCCGCATCAATTCTCCAGTTAAGTCAGCCACTCCCAGAAGGTAATCGACAGGTGTGACTCTCAGTCTCCAAGTACCAAACTGCTTATCCTGTGCATCAGAGGAGGGCTGGTAAAAAAACAAAACAAAACAAAAACACACACACACACACACAAGAAAGAACACTGTGAAAAAGAGTGAATATAGCATGTATCACATTTATTATAGAAGTACAAAATCAATAGCAAATCAGTCATACTAATTTTTTCTAAATAAAATAAATCTGTTTTGCTTAATAACCACTTGGGATGTTACAGGAGGAATGTGTGCCCTGGGTAGTGAAATGAACCAGATGACTTCAAGATACTTTTGAAATATATCATTATGAAACCAACTATTTCCAACTCCACTTGATGTACAAAATAAAAATATTCTTGAACAAGGCTTAATAACTTTATTGCACGACAATTACTTTCTTAAATGAAAAACCATACAGCCCTCCAAGTTTGTGATCCATTAATGTTTTCCTAAGAAGCTCAGTCTTTTTCTGGCTTCTTGTCTTTCCCTATTCAGCACTCACCATCACAATTTATTATTCTCTCACTGCATCCTCAATTCCCTTAGACTGCTATATTTTCTACTGCACCTACCCAGCAAAAACAGAATCCTCAATCAATACTAAAATATACTCATTAGTCCTTTATTCAGGTGGCTGAGTACCACTCACTGAGTTAAAAAAAAATGGTAATCACAACTGCAGAGTCTGTACCGCTACAAATTACTCTCCAATCCTTTTACTTATCATTAGATGGTTCTCTTTCCAGCCTCTTCAAACACAATTTCAAACCTTTCACCACTCTCCTCAGGGCTCTACTCAAATCCCAAACCTCTTCACTTTCAGTAGACAACCTTGCCCAATTTCAGTGACCTGGTCATTTGCCAGCTTACCTAGCACAATTTCTCACAACTGCCTTTATCCCTACCAAAAAAAAAAAAAAAAAAAATTTATATCCACACCCATCTTTACCTTCTATCCTCCAGTCTCAGATGATGAGTTGTCCCTCCTCTTGTTTGAGGTTAACTCTTCCAAATGACCTTGACCCATCTCCTCCCACCTCTTCCAGGACCTTGCTTCATAAGGTGTATGCCCTTGGGCAAGTTATTTCATCTCTCTAAACCTCAGTTTCCTCATCTGTAAAATGGGATAACAGTACCTACCTCAGAGGTTTATTTTAAGGGTTAAATGAGAACATTTACCAAGTTCTTGGCATAATGCCCAACACAAAGTAAATATTCAACAAATGCTAGCTGCTATCATGATATCATCATGAAATCTCTCTCCACATCAATTTCCCTCTACTGAATTCTTTCTGGTAGAGACGATGCCTAAATTGTTATTAAAAGACGGTATGTATAAAAGGGTAGGTGAAGTTGCAGTTACATCAAAGGACATTTTAGGTAGTGGGAACTACAAAGGCATACAGGTAAGAATTGTGCATTTGAGGAACTAATGAGATAATTCTTTTGAGTAAAGTTTAAAGGAAGTTACATAAATATAAGCTGAGACAAGGGAGACAGCTTTATTAAGATCACTCTTTGCTATGTATCTAATACTTGAATCCTAGCACTGTTTGGACTCTGCAGAGACCATTTGGTGCAACGTCCTCATCATTTAGCATGAGAAATGAGGTCCGAGAAACATCACAGGTAATATGACGTTGAGCTATGGGAATATGATAGCTAGTTAGTGGCACTAATGTTTCCATTCTATTTTTCTGCATGTTTGAAATTTTTCACAAAACTTTTTAAAATAAAAATTAAATAGTTTTGACAATATTCTCAACAGGCAAGTCAGAGCAAAATACCTTTCCCAATCAAATTCCCAGAAATTTCAGCACCAAGCATCTTTAGCACTAAAACTTATTTATGAACATAGTCTTATACAATTTGAAACATGTATATGAATATTATAGCCCCATAATCTTAAAATAATCTGGTACCTAAGTCCTGAAAACAGTACTTTGACTCTCAATTTTCTGGCCTTTTCCCCAATATTTTCATTTTGATACACAGAGAACTTTAAAGGAAAGTGTGGTAACTTCCCTAATATCACGTGAGAAGCAGGGTCAAATAGACCTACTTTACTTCTTTGTGTAATTCAGTCTACACTATATGAATAAAAAATATGAAGAAATTTTACTTCTCAAAATAAATTTCCTCCTTAATACACTTCATATAACTTAAAGTTAATACATGGCTTCCTTAAAGTAAGTTATACCTGTCATGCCAAATTAGTCTCATTTGTATTAATATTTTAGTTGATATTCAAGAAAATATTATTTCTACAGTGTCTTCCATCTCCTGCCTACCTATCCTTAATATATGGTGTTTTTAAAAATAATTTTTAAAAGAAAAAATAAAGAAAATTTTTAAAATAATTAAATATTTAATATTTAGTAAATTAAATTAATAATTTAATAATTTAATATTTAAACAATTATTTAAATAATATAAATTATTTTAAAATATTTAATTTTAAGTGTACTGGTATCTCAGAAAGTATCAAATAGTCAATACAGCTTACCTTACTGCCTGTTATATCTTGAAACCCAGAAGGAAAAAAATAGTATTTGTTTAAAAGTCAAACTGCAAAGTTTTTCTTAATTCAGAAAAGCTACATAAATTTCAGATATAAGCATTATGAATTGAGTAAATGATTAACAGCTCTCACTATATAAAAACTACTTTATAATGGCAAACTACTGAGCACTTCCGTGTCAGGTGCTGTATATAATGTATATTACGTGTCAGGTGCTGCTGTATATTGCCTAATTAATAACCTTTAAGTCAAATCCTTTAAAACAACCCTTTGAGGTAGGTACCTGATGCAAGGGATCCCTGTAGCACACTGTGAGAAGCGCTGGCAGAGTGGACAAGGGCACAGGCTTGGATTCAAAATACCTAACTTCAAATCTTAGCTCTGCCACACTTTTTAGTTGTGGCTTCTGGCAAGTTACTTAACCTCTCTAAAAGTCTGTTTCTTTCTCTGTAAAATGAGAGTAATAATGCTTACCACATATGGTTAATAAAAGGATTAAATAAGACAGTGCTTACAAAGGGCAAGTGAAAAATAGAGAGTAAAACCAAAAGAGGACTTACAGTAAGCACTCCATAATGCTTTAGGTAAAGAGCATTACTTTCCCAATATGCCCAGAGTTGTTCTTGTTCTATCCACTAACTGAAATATTTAAAAAGACCATTTCCTAGTTGAGACTCTACAAAACCATACTTTAGAAAGAACATTCCCATCTCAATCTTAGCATAAGCCAGTAAATCTACTAGAATCGTCATACTGTTACATAAATTATATAACAAATGTGAAATAAATTTTAAATTCTCACAGTTTTATTTTCTTTCCCATTGTCTTCAGTCGTAAATATCAATTGTTTATTAATTTCATCCATACTAATTAATGATCGTGTTTTGATGAAGTGTTGAAAAGAGACAGCTTCCACATATTCCTGTAGTCCTGAAAGCGTGACAAAGAAAATTACTAAGAATAAGCACTTAATTAGTAAGAATGTCATAATAAAAAAACTTCATATTGATCATCATCTAGTTCAAAAAAAAGCTTAATGGATGCCTACTACAATGCCAGTACTAGACTAGACACTTAGAATAGAAAGAATGGCCTGGGGACCAGGCGCGGTGGCTCACGCCTGTAATCCCAGCACTTTAAAAGGCCAAGGCGGGTGGATCACTTCAGGTCAGGAGATGGAGACCAGCCTGGCCAACACAGTAAAACCCCAACTCTACTAAAAATACAAAAATTAGCTGGACATGGTGGCGGGCGCCTGTAATCTCTGGGCCACTGTGCCCAGCCAGAAAAAAAATTTTTTTAAGAGTTTAAGTAATTAGGATTTAAGAAAAGCTTATTCTGGCCGGGCACGGTGGCTCACGCCTGTAATCCCAGCACTTTGGGAGGCTGAGGTGGGCGGATCACCTGAGGTCAGGAGTTTGAGACCATCCTGGCCAACATGGCGAAACCCCATCTCTACTAAAAATACAAAAAATATTAGCCGGGTGTGGTGGCAGGAGCCCGTAATCCCAGCTACTCGGGAGGCTGAGGCAGGAGAATCGCTTGAACCCAGGAGCCGAAGGTTGCAGTGAGCCAAGACCGCACCATTGCACTCCAGCCTGGGGGACAAGAGCGAGACTTCGTCTCAAAAAAAAAAAAAGGGGGGGGGGGGAGAAAAGAAAAGCCTATTCCATAATTTTGATAGGCTTTAATAAAAATTATATAAATTAATTTGTTTTATTTTGCTGGGTAACGAAGCAATGATTCAAACAAATGAGACATAAAATTAAGAATCATTTGGGCCGTTCACGATGGCTCACGCCTGTAATCCCAGCACTTTGGGAGGCCCAGGCGGGTGGATCACGAGGTCAGGAGATCCAGACCATCCTGGCTAACATGGTGAAACCACATTTCTACTAAAAATAAAAAAACTTAGCCGGGCGTGGTGGCGGGCGCCTGTAGTCCCAGCTACACAGGAGGCTGAGGCAGGAGAATGGCGTGAACCCGGGAAGCAGAGCTTGCAGTGAGCCAAGATCATGCCACTGCACTGCGGCCTAGGCGGCAGAGCGAGACTCGTCGCAAAAAAAAAAAAATAATAATAATAATAATAATAATTTGGATCTTTCTTAAAGTTTTAATAGGCAAAATCACTTTTAACTAATGTAGGTAAGTGTCAAAATACCGTTTATCTTTTCATAGTTCAAAATGGATCTAAGACTAGATAACTCCTTTCTGCTTTGGTAGTTTAAGAAAAAAAAAAGAGAGCTATGCAATACAATTTTGTACAAGACAGAAACAACCCTTGAATTGAAGAGTAAATTTTGGTAAAGATCAAAATGTAACTTAAATACTTTTAAAAATGTTTATATAAATGTAAAGGGCACAAGTGCAATTTTGTTACATGTCTACAGTACTATACTTTTCCAAGTGTTTTAAAACAACTACTTTCTGGCCGGGCGCCGGTGGCTCACACCTGTAATCCCAGCACTTTGGGAGGCCAAGGCCAGCGGGTCACGAGGTCAGGAGATCGAGACCATCCTGGCTAACATGGTGAAACCCCGTCTCTACTAAAAACACAAAAAATTAGCTGGGCATGGTGGCGGGTGCCTGTAGTCCCAGCTACTTTGGAGGCTGAGGCAGGAGAATGGCGTGAACCCGGGAGGTGGGGCTTGTAATGAGCCGAGATTGTGCCACTGCACTCCAGCCTGGGCAACAGAGCAAGATTCCATCTCAAAAACAACAACAACAACAACAACAACAAACTATATTCTATAGCCACAATTTTCAATATTATTTGATGTCTTAATCTGAAAGGTGATACAGGGAAAAAGCATTTCTTAATTATTATTGTTAGTTTAAGAAACTTTTTAAAGGTTTGTTGTAAAAATAGCAAGAGAATACATTTCTGATTATGCAAAGAAAACTCAGAACTTAAGAGGATATTTAAGTTCTCTAACATTTTTTATGACAGAGTCCTGCTACTCACAAGTCTCCCCCACCTGCCACTACACTTCTGGTATGGCAGCAACAGTGTTGGGGAGGCTAACAGCTGTAGTATCATCACATCAAATGCCAGGCAAAGGTCCAGGATACAAGGGAAAATGGGTGACCCTGGTTTTGATAGCACTAAGAGGAAACTTAACTAAATGAAAATATCCTGACTCATTCTGAGCTGCAAATGATGCCCAAATATAGGTCAGAAGGGACAATTTAACAAACCATAATGTTCTGAGAAATTAAACATTAACGAGGTTAAGTTTAACAAAACAGATGATGTCATTTATATTTATAATTAAAAATATTTTTAATTAAATGTTTAATTTTATGAATTTTTAGTTTTATGAATAGGTGACACCGCCCAGTTCCCCCCCAAAGAAAATCTCTATTTCTCATTTCCTTCTAAAGATACTTCATGCACACAAAAGCAAACAGCAAAACGTAAAGATGCATAATCACATCTCCATGCTCTAATGTGGTTAGCCTCTTATGAGCTAAACAAGAAGATATGCACAAAGATTTACATATAAGGATGTTTGTCACTACAGCAAAAAAAATTTTTTAAAGTTAAAAGACCAGTAATAGCTGTATCACTTGTCAATTTTTGTCTCTTAGTTCCATTATTTCAGAAGAAGGAGGTGGATACTTAAAGCATGTCTCCTATGCCAGCTGGCAATATATTAAGCTTTGTCAGTACAGGGTGCTAGGTGCTTAAAGAACTGTAAAGAGCTCTCTGCCTGGTTCTGCTGTGCCCCTCTTCACAGCCCTGAGTATGGGGCAGCCAGCACTTCAAGGTGGCCAACAGCATGTAGCACCTGCCTGGGGACAGCTTCTTTTGTACTCCAGAGAATGGCTTCCCAGTAAGCCACCTCCTTGGGCAGGGAATTCCTTTCCATGGCATTTCCCCATGGACAGCTTCCCAGAGAGTCCATCAGCACAACAGCTCAGCAAATGTCTCTGCCAGCCGATGGGACATGCCCACCCTCTCCAGCATGGTCTGGACCTCATCCTGTGAAGGGTGAGGGTTGGGTTCTGCCAAATTTAGTTCCTTGGGTGCTCTGCCTCCGCCCTAGGGGTAGTGGCTGCTCACTCTATCTGAGATTCCAGTACTCTTTAGAGTTCTCTTTTACTCTTATAATCCCCTATATGGTTAATAAGTCTGTATGTTGTATTTAACTTTCCCTGTTCATATTACCATCTAATTTCTGTTTCCTGTTTGGAGCCTGATGAATACAATAAGGAATTAGGAAAATAAATAATGGTATTACTTCTCCTTCAGCCCTACTACCTAGAGAAGGTGTTCCATTTTCTGTGGCTAGTCACTGTATTAGGTTCAGGATCAAGATTCAGTACCAGCTGGGAGCTTCACATGAATTCTCCCTTTAACATACTAGGTGTTCTCACTTTATGTTCTATACTGAATCTTACAGAAATACTGAAACACACTCAGATCTGTCCTATCCATGAACCCTATATTTCCTCTCAACTATTGCTCCATCTGTCTCCTCCTCCTCAGAGCTAAGTTTCTTGAAGTAGCTGGCTACATCATTTCCTCAATAACTTCATCTCACACTTCTCAACCTACTTCAATCTAGCTTGGGTACATCTCTAAAACAAAATAGTTCTTGCTAAGATTACCATAATAAATAAGACTAATGGACATTCTTTCCGTCTTCATCTCGGCAGCATTCAGCATTTTGTGCCACTTCCCCTCTTTGAACAAGTTTTCCTTTGATTCCTTTGACAGCATCATCTCCTGATTTCCCACTTTTCCACCTCTCTAGTCATGTCTTCTTAAGTCTCTGCCTCTATCAGTCCTAGGTTCCCTCCAGTTCATCTATACTTGGTTTCAAGTAACCTTGCTGCCCTTAAACTTCACATCTCTGGCCAACAGGCACTCACATCCAAATGAGTATCTGACATCCTTACCAAAGATACCTCAAAATCAACACTTCCAACAATGAACTCACTACCTTCCTTCCAAACCTGGTTCTCTCAAGTTTTGCCAATTCTAAGCATGTCCTGGTCTCCCCCCATCTATTCTTGACCTCTTCACATCCATTCTCACACTGCAGACTGTCTGCCTTTTTAATATGTTAACGACATCATTCCCCAGTTTAAAGCCCAAATAGCTTCCCATGGCGCTCAGAATACAGGGCAAAACCATTAACGTGGCTTATAAGACCATGCTTAATTTCACCCCCACTTACATTATCAGCCTCAATTCATGCTATAGTTAAGTCATAACTCACAAAGGCTTGCATTTCCAAGATGGGTACATAAACATATATCTGTATGCATGTTGAGCAAAAAATAGCACTGCTTTAAATGGTCAGAATCAAACACAACTGGCAAGGTGCCTGTCTTATACATGGCAATAGGTAGGTAGGGAGACAGTATAAAAAGTAGAACTATGTCAGTTGAAGGCAATACACACATATTTTCCTGAGCCTTGAATAATATTAAATTCAACAAACAGGATAAGCAGCCTTACATGGAAAGGGGGCTGTTATTCTCTCCATCTCGCCCAATGTAACACTGTCGATCCTATTTGTTAAATTTAGTATTATTTCATATGTAGCTGTTGATAAGACCACAAACACTTTAGCAACAACATACTACTAATATTCTGTATCATTCAGCAGTGCCTTGTTGCAGAAACAAATAGCATTTCTGTTTGGCTGCCATATAGTTTAGTTTCATTCAAGTACTTTTTTTTTCATATTTCAGTGGAAGAATAGTTCAAAATATTCCAAATTTTAAAAGTACCATCAAGATCATGGCATCTAGTACTTTTACAACTGAGGCCCAGGCCTGGCATTTAGTTGTACCTAGTTGATTTTACTAATTACAAATTATTTTTAAAAATAAATTCACTAAAACCATTTTCCATGTTTTGAATTGACTCACGGACAAAACAACTTTTTACAACTAATGAAGGTGAACAAACTTTTTTCTTCCATGGACAAATGCATGATATTTTACCATATCATTGTCTCCGTAATTGTCATCTTTGTTCAATAACATTCATTCAGAAGCAGGAGTAGTTTTAAAAATAGTACTTTGCTTTTTGATTGTCTATTGCTTTTCTTTCCCCTCTTCCATTGTGCAACTATGAAATTTAAAATTATTCATCTTTCATTATCCAAGGCTCTTTGGTTCCTCCCCTCAACTTAGCTCCATTTCTACTCTTGCATGTCCAAAAACTCCTTAAGGACTCTATTCTACAAATGGACATCTACCCTGGGACAAAATCCTTAATTATCACAGAGGACCTAGGAAAACAGGAATTTCAGTCTTTCCTTGAGCAGGAGCAAACTCTTAAGATGTGCTTTTACTCCAATCATCTCTGTAAGCCAAATACTGCAATACAGTAAGCAATATTTACTCCCAACAAAATGAATTATGGCATCTTGCTTAAAGAGCTGAAGTGGTTAGAATTCGTTTGATTTTTTTAAAAATTAGCAGTTTCATTTTTATTTTTTCTCCGTTTAATTGTGGTAAAACAAACATAACATTTACCAGCTTAGCCATTTTTAAGTGTACAGTTTAGCATATTAAATACATTCATAATGTTGTACAACCATTATTACCATTCATCTACAGAATTCTTGTATTAATCTTTCCAAAATGAAACTCTGGACCTAGCATTTCTTAATCTAACTCCCCATCCCTCCTCCCCTCAGCTCCTGCCAACCACCATTCTACTTTCTTGTCTCTATGATTTTGACTACTCTGGGTACCTCATGTAAGTAACAAATACAGTATTTGCCCTTTTGTGATTGGCTTATTTCACTTTGCATAATGTCTTCAAGCTTCATCCACGTTGTAACATATGTCAGAATTTCCTGTTTAAGGCTGAATAATATTCTATTGTATGCATATACCACACTTTGTTTATTCACTCATCTATAGAGAGACAACTGAGTCACTTCCACCTTTTGGCTTTTCTAAGTAATGCTGCTGTAAACATGACTATTCATACCTGTTCAAGTCGTGCTTTCAATTATTTAGGGGTATCACCCAGAAGCCCTCAACAAACTTTTTAAAAATAAAATAATAGTTTACTAAGTCTTGAATGTCTACTACATGTTAAGAGTATGGATCTGGAACTTTACATCCATCTTTTTAATGCTCACTATAACCTTATGTGACTATTACTATCCTTAATGAACAAATTGAGGCATAGAGAAGTTAAGAAATTCAGCCAAGTCACACAGTAAATAGTGAAAGTTTCTAGAATTCAAAAGCTCACACCCTTCCCATCTTACCTGCTTCTTGACAGTCATCTCCATATAAAACATACCCATTTTTCTCAACATTTTTCCACACTAAATTCCTGGTTCAGCTTTTCTCCATGTTTTGCTTAACCTTATTCTGTAGTCTTCCAAACACACTATATACTTTCATGATTCCATGTCATTCTGTGACTATGAAGCCTTCTCTCACATCTTTCTCTACCTACAACAATAGTTTAAATGTTTTAATACACCCCAATCAAGGCGGCACTCGTCTCTTCATTCTCACTATATAAAACTTGTACTTCAATTAAATGTTTCAGTCAGTTTTAGATTACAAACAGCTGTCTGATCACCTATTTTGCACCCTAGAACTCTGAGGGTGGGGACAATGCCCAGACGACTTTGCTCCTTGGCCCTCTCCCAAAGATAGCAACTCATATGTACAAGAGACTCAACTTTTTCCCGTAAATTCCTTCTAATAATCTGTTTCTCCTCACCAAGGTCTATGAAACTAAGTGCCTCAACAAAAAAAATATTTTAAAATTTGGTATTCAATTATTCAGAACTATCTAGTTGTACTTAAGTTAAAATACTTTCTAACAAGGTTAGTGTTCAAACTGATGAAGGGCAGAATTTGAGGTCCTGATTTATTTTTTAATAGGGAAAAGAGAGAATATGGAATAAGAGTCCTCAAAATTTATCTTTGGTGTCAATCTCTATTAAATATGGGTGAGTGTCAGTTATTTAATTTTCAAGTATATCTAGTCATTATATAAGTTGTCCTTGAAATGTGTTAACAAAAGTTACTTCAGAGATGAGGTGGCCATTTTTGCTCCATAGAAATTAGATTTCATGGGCCAGGCGTGGTGGCTCACGCCTGTAATCCCAGCACTTTGGGAGGCCAAAGTGGGTGGATCACCTGAGGTTGGGAGTTCGAGACCAGCCTGACCAACATGGAGAAACCTCGTCTCTACTAAAAATACAAAATTAGCCGGGTGTGGTGGCACATGCCTGTAATCCCAGCTACTCGGGAGGCTGAGGCAAAAGAATCGCTTGAACCTGGGAGGCAGAGGTTGTGGTGAGCCGAGATCTCGCCATTGCACTCCACCCTGGGCAACAAGAGCAAAACTCCATCTCAAAGAAAAAAAAAAAAAAAAAGGAAAGAAAGAAATTAGGTTTCATGCTATAATGTGGAGAAAGTTCAAGGACATCTGGCCCAAAACACTGAAAAGCATTTTTGGTCACATGTAGGTAAGAGGATGTTTAAACAAGTTATGTTTCAACCTGATAAAAAGGACATCCGCTATTTTCAGTGAATAATCCCCAAGGTGAAAATTTTCAACGTACTGCCATATTCCATCAAACAATGCCTTCCCCTTCTGTCTTAGCCTTGGATGAAATCCAATTAGAATTATTTACAGAATCAGCTGCCAGTAAGAGAGAAGTCTGTAGGTTGCTTTTATGTAAATTGTTATTTTTTTCCTTGTTCTCCCATTAGAACATATAACAGGGAAACCCAGTTAAAGGCTTCTGATTATTTTTACATATTCCTTTAATATTTAAGCAATATACATCCAGTCCAAATCTCCATCAAAAACTATATATAAAAGCAAACAGATATGACAAAGGTTTCATTATAAATTTGAACCTCACATGACTCAACTTTGTTTCTTGGTTTTTAATGCTTTTTCAGAAATTGTTTAACATATGATTCGGTAATTCCGCTCCTAGGTATATACACCCAAAAGAGCTGAAAGCATATATTCACACAAAGACTTGTAGGCAAATATTAACAGCAGTTATTATTCACAAAGGCCAAAAAGTATAAACAACCCAAAAGTCCACCAACTGATGATAGATTAACAAAATACAGTATATCCATAAAACAGACTATAATTCAGCTATTAAAAAGGAATGAAATACAGATACATGCTATGACATAGCTGAACTCTGAAAACATGCTCTAAGAAACCAGACGCAAGAGGCCATACATGGTTTGATTCAATTTATATGAGATATCCAGAATAGACAAATTACCATAGAGACAAAAGTAGATTAGTGGTGACCAGGGGCTAACCCTGGTATTAGGAGAACGGGGAATGGGGAATGACCGCTAATAGGTAGGAGGTTTCTTTTGAGCGTGATGAAATGTTCTGGTATTAGACAGTGATAAGTACATAACCTTGTGGAAACAGTAAAAACAAATGAATTATTCAATTTAAAATTTAATTATGTGGTATGTAATGTCTCAATTTTTAAAAACTGCACTTGTAACTATTTCTCTGGTACCACATGAATTTTTAAAACAAGTTAGCGTCACCAAATCAATCACTGAAATGTTAAAATGAAATCAGATTTATATTGGATTCACAGGCCACTCTGCTAAAAATCTACTTTCAAATACATGAAGTGCACACTGAAAATAAATATATCTATATGCCTCAGCTTTGTAAAGTATGTGTGCTTATACTACCAACAGTAAACTCTAAATAGAATTCCACTAATTTGGATTTTGTCTGAGTAGGGTTTTTTTGTTTGTTTTGGTTTTTTTTCTGAGACAACCTGGCTCTGTTGCCCAGGATGGAGTACAGTGGCACGATCTTGGCTCACTGCAACCTCTGCCACCTGGGTTCAAGTGATTCTCTCTCCTGCCTCAGCCTCCCGAGTAGCTGGGATTGTAAGTGCCTGCTGTCGCACCCAGCTAACTTTTGTAGACGGGGTTTCATCATGTTGTCTAGGCTGGTCTCGAACTCCCGACCTCAGGTGATTCGCCCACCTTGGCCTCCCAAAGTGCTGAGATTACAGGCGTAAGCCACCGCGCCTGGAATGGGTCTTTCTTTTTTTAAAAAGAGACATGATCTTGCTCTGTCACACAGGCTGGAGTGCAGTGGCACAATCGTGGCTCACTGCAGCCTCAAACTCCTTGGCTCAAGCGATCCTCATGCCTTAGCCTCCCCAGTAACTAGGACTACAGGAGCAAGCAACTATGCCTAGCTAATGGTGTTTTTATTTTTATTTATTTACTTTTTTTTTTTTTTTTTTACTTTTTTGTAGAGACAGGGTTTTGCTAAGTTGCACAGACTGGTCTCAAGTGATCCTCCCACCATGACCTCCCAAAGTGCTGGGATTACAGGTATGAGCTACCACTTCCAGCCCTAGGCAGGGTTTTTACATCAGCACTGAAGAACGAGTATTGAGCAAATTGGTACCACTGAGTTTTTATCCAAAATGAAAATAAATGTTAAAATTTAGTACAATATTATAGATTAATTTTGCTAAATTCAAGAAAGGTCAGGAATGAACATTTGTTAATGGTTATATGCCAAACAAAATAAATGCTTTCCATAAATGTATTTAATTTCCAAAAAATCCAGGAGGTAGCTATTAATGTTCTCATGCTAAAGGAAAGAAAGCTGAAATTCAAATAGGTTGTACACTTTGTTCCAAGGTTACAGCGATATGGAATATTAAAACATAAAAGCCCAGGTCTGATGGCAAAGTTGATCTCTTTCTACTTCACCTCACTGAGCAAGCCTTACCTCTTACAAGGAGACCTCACAGACTAGAAAAGTTAAGACCAATCTGGGGATCTTCTAAAACTGACTTTCCTAATACCAAAGGACCACATTCTCTTCTTATCTTGCTTAATCCTTATAATAGCCACTTAAATAACTCATCTGCACTTTCAACTACCTTGTCCCTTGGAGTCATATTCAAGATATTTTAACAGGAATATAAAGTACTATATAAATAAATATAAATCCCAAATTTTAAATATATTTTTATTTTCTTAATACACTAAACTATATTATAGAACTGCTTACCAAGTGATATAAAATATAACAAATTATTCCTCAAATCATTCCAATAATTCTCAAATCATTTCTTAATTTTTTAGATGCTGTTGGAAAGGGCTTTTGACTTCCCTTGTCTGAGCCATGATTTGATATGCAAAGTATCATCAAACTCTTCCTATGACCTCCTCCATTAAAATGACAGTTATCAGGCAACTGGGTTCCTGCCAATGTAGGGGATTCACACAGGCTTGCCCCCATTGTCAGCTTCCAATTCCCCCAACCATTCCTTTAGTCTCTGTTCCTCTCTCATCATACTCTCTCCTCCAACCAATAGGGGACGAAAGGAGTAGAAGAGGAAAAGGAAGGAAGGAAGAAGAAAAGAAAGAAAATCTGTGTTCTCACTTGCTGGGATGCCTGCTGTCCTGTGATGGTTATCAATAAGGCTCCCTTCCCCCAGACTCTTTCCCTTATGTGCAGAGACAGCCACTTCTCTTTCCACCAGGGGGCCATGCCTCAAATAAAGCAATGCTTCCTGAACCTACCTGAGATTATAAACGCAGCCTGAGAGAATATGCTCTGCATGAAATATCTGTTTATATCCCTGGTTCCCAGTAGAGTCATCAGACACTATTTGCTTCTCCCCTTAAGGCACCTCTTTTTGGGGGTTTACAAAAGAAGTCCACAGCTCAGCTGCACAACACAACACCCCCACCCACCCCTGGACTTAAAAGCAACTCCCCAGTCCCTCCACTCCAAAGTAACATTTGTAGCTCATCCTCTAGCTGCAGTGCACAAACCAAAAAGTATCTGTTATGGACTGAACTGGGCTGCCCCAAATATGCTGATTATATGTTGAAGCCCTAACCTCTAGTACCTGAGAATGTGAGTGTATTTGCAGACAAGGTCTTTAAAGAGGGGATTAAGTTAAAATTAGTCCATTGAGGTGTACTTTTATCGAATATGACTGGTGACATAAGGAAATATTAGGACACACAGGGACAACAGAGATGTGTGTGCACGTGTGCACAAGGCCATGTGAAGACCCAGGGAAAAGATAGCCATCTGCATGTCATGGAAAGAGGCCTCAGGGGACATCAAATTTGCCAACACCTCGATCTCAGACTTGAGGCCTCCAGAACTGCAAGACAATAAATTTCTGTTTAAGCCACCCAGTCTGTGGTATTTTATTATGACAGGCCTAGTAAACTAATATAGTATCTTGGAATCGGTGCACCTTTGGCTTCTGAGATAAACCACATGTGCTGAAATTTGTATTATTAATTTTACTACTCATCACAGTTGACAATATACTACTTACCAACAAACAAAGAAGGATGTATTTCTATTTTAACAACAAACATGGCCACAATAATGCAGCAGGCTGCTTATCTTTTCCTACTTCTCCCACTGTCATCCTACTGCCAAATAATGAGCACGACCCAAACCATGAATTAATCTAACTTTCTGCCTCATTCATTCCTATTGCTATACAGAAAGGATTATATTTATTGCTCAGGTAAACTTTCAAAAATGATTAACAGCAACTATTAAATATTCCTGGTTAAGTTCCCATCCCCATTACACTCACATTCATTCTTTTATTTTTATTTTTGGGCTGGGGGCGGGGACGGAGTCTCACTCTGTCTCCCAAGCTGGAGTGCAGTGGTGCAATCTCGGCTCATTGCAACCTCCGCCTCCTGGGTTCAAGCAATTCTCCTGCCTCAGGTGCACGCCACCATGTCCAGCTAATTTTTGTATTTTTAATAGACATGGGGTTTCATCACTTTGGTCAGGCTGGTCTCGAACTCCTGACCTTGTGATCCGCCCACCTCAGCCTCCCAAAGTGCTGGGATTACAGGCGTGAGCCATCAGAGTCATTCTTAAATCTCCAGTCTCCCATCAATTCCATACCATTTCCCCACCACATCCCCTTTTCTCAGCACATGACAGGAAAATGGAAGTGACTGAGCAAGAATTTTCTCAATTCCCTACCTCTATACCCATCTGTAACTACCCATCTGTAACTGCCCATCTGGGAAGAGGGAGCTGTCCTGTCATACAAGGCTTAAGCTCTGGATCCCATCCTCAGGTCTTGATTATTCAGGGATATTATTCGCTTAAATATTATATTGTATTTCCTTTAGTTAAGGTTCCCAGCCTTTGGTTTTATTCTCACTCTACACTCTCCTTAGACAATCTTATCCATGTCTTTAAAATTAACTACAATTTATAAGCTCATGACTCCAAGGCTGTAACTGCAGATGCATCCTGAGTTCTGTAGACCTACGTATCAAATTGCCTCCTAGGCAGCAACCTGTACGTCCTAAGATTTCCAATTAATTTTTCCAAAACCCATTCCACCTTCCTGTTTTCTCCTCTTAACAAATAACATTCCTATTCATCCAGTTGGCCAAACCAGAAACCTAAAGGCATCCCTAGACTATTCCCTTTCTGCTTTTTAAAAATAAACTGTCTTCTAAAAACATGCCCATTCCTCTCTATTCCCACTGCTAACACCAAACTTGAGGCCCTATTCATTTCACTCCAAGAAGGACCACTACAACTGCCTCACCTCTCTGCCTCTAGCTTCCCACTGAATAAAATATGATAATGGCAAAACAGAAAGCAGAGACTTGAAGGGAGGATGTCCTAGGTTCTAAAGCTAAGTCTCTTGCAAGCAGTGTGAACTGAGTTAAGTTTACTCATTTTACTGTGCTCCAATTTTCTCATCTGTAAAGTGCAGGCATCTGTTTACATAGTAGGGTTTATACAGAATAATGTTATCAGTGTCTGGTATAAGGGCCCTTTGTATCTGTTTACTAAATTAAACTATGAGAAGAATAAAATAAGAATTACTGCCATTAATTTTTGTTAGACAATATTTTATAATGTCTTTAAAGAAAGCAATGGTGGCCAGGCGCGGTGGCTCATGCCTGTAATCCCAGCACTTTGGGAGGCCAAGGCGGGCGGATCACGGAGATCAAGACCATCCTGGCTAACATGGTGAAACCCTGTCTCTACTAAAAATACAAAAAATTAGCCGGGCGTGGTAGCGGACGCCTGTAGTCCCAGCTACTCGGGAAGCTGAGGCAGGAGAATGGCATGAACCTGGGAGGCGGAGCTTGCAGCGAGCCAAGATCGTGCCACTGCACTCCAGCCTGGGCGACAAAGTGAGACTGTCTCAAAAAAAAAAAAAAAAAAAGAAAGCAATGGTTTTTTGTTCCTTGGATTTCTTTTCCCTTTTATTAGCTTACAATTGAAAGGGGCTGTTATTCTTCTAAAATGTTATCCTAAGTCAATATGTACTACAATTCTCAAATACTTTTTGGTTTGCTAAGAAGTAACAGCAAATTGGCTGGGCACGGTGGCTCAGGCCTGTAATCCCAGCACTTTGGGAGGCCAATGTGGGTGGATCAGTTGAGGTCAGGAGTTTGAGACCAGCCTGGTCAACATAGTGAAACCCCACCTCTACTAAAAATACAAAAATTAGCTGGGCATGGTGGCATTTGCCTATAGTCCCAGCTACTCGGGAAGCTGAGGCAGGAGAATGGCGTGAACCCAGGAGGCGGAGCTTGCAGTGAGCCGAGATCACGCCACTGCACTCCAGCCTGGGCGACAGAGTGAGACTCCATCTCAAAAAAAAAAAAAAAAAAAGAAAAAAAAAAGAAAAAGCCTTTAGCTTTAGATAAAACAGTTTAAAGCACTAGATACTAGCTATCAGAGATGGATAATAGTCTAGCAGAAAGTCTATCAGAGTAGATGAAACAAGTCGGATTCCAATTCCAATACTATCACTCACCTCATTTACAAAATTAGGTAGTAGAACTAAAAGTCTTCTCACCAGTTATAAAATCACTTTCAAACAGACAAATGAATGCTTTCAAACAAAAGAAAAATCTATTCAGAAAAAAATGTTAAATCAATCAACAGACATATACCTGAATTTTCTATTACACCAAAAGAACATCAAATTACCATATCAGGCAGAGAAAAATTAACTATTCATCAAACATATTTTGCTTTCCTTGGCACGCACAGAGACCGTATTTCCCATTCTTCCTTAAGGCTGGTGTGGCCATGTGACTAGCCAACAAAATGTGGGCAGAAGTGCTCCATGCCACTTCCAGGGCTGGTGCATAAAATCCTCAGGCGCCATCCCCCACTCCTCCCTTTTCCACAATCTGTCAGCTCTATGTTGATGCCCTGGCTCATCTTGGAAATCATGTACTGGTAACAGCAGAGCCCCAGAGAGCATGGATCTGTGAATAACTAAGTGGGCAGAGCACACTCAAACTACCACTACAAAGCCTGGTCTTCAAGAGAGAAAGATAACGATTTCTAGTTTGTTAAGTCACTGCAACGTCACAGTTTATTAATCTGTTTCTGCACTTAGCTTTACCTTAACTAACCAACATCTCTGGTACTTCTCTCTTAATCTCACTCATTAACAGATAAATTCAATTTTTAGCTATATTATTCCATCCACTACACTCTTCCTACTGTTACTCCAAAAGCTTACAGAGATTCACATCATAGTTCATTTTTCCAGTGGGCACTCACAATTTTGCCAATATGCTGAACCTACATCGAATTTCTCTGTACTGCTATAGTAGCTTTGGAACTTCCCTAAACATTAATATTGATCCTATTCCTGCTAGTATGTCTAAGAAATAGCTCCTGGAAACTTGCTTTCTTTCGGAAGAAACAAAAAACAGTAAAATATAAACTTGTGAAAGCAAATCATCAGATAAAGCATATGGCTGAACAACAACAAAAAGCCTTTTAAAATTAGTTTTGTTCTTCATTCTTTTCAACATTTGTATTTCGGGAGACTTATTAGGTGTCTGGGATATATAAAGTGAAAAACAGGAATGAAATCTTTGTAGAGATCTATAGAGTCTACATTCTAGTAAGGGAAAGAGAGATAATGAAGAAATATAATATATAAAGAGATTACACATTAGAAGTTGAGAAGTGCTATGAAAAAAGGGCCACAGTGTGTGCTGGGTTTATGAGGAAAACCTCAGTATTTGGGGTAAGCAAAATAAAGCCTTTGCTAGGAGTTAGGTTGTAAAGTTAAGAGGTAAATGAAATCCATGTGGGAAGAAACCAATGGTACCACGTGCTAGCTTATGACCCTGAGCATAACTTGTGAGCCTCAATCTCCCCGCCTGTGAAGTGGTAAAAATATCTATGATTTAGAGGTATTGCAAAAACCTATGAGATTGTGAATATAAAGAATAGTGGCTAAAAACATATCTTAACTGGCCCAAAACATCCACTTTACCCATCATTCACATTCTTGGATAAAAGAATTAAAACATTAATTAGGATATAAACTTAGTTTTGTGTACCGAAATGTCTCAAAAAATGACAATTCTTATCATTATCAGTGATATAAACTAAACTTAAGAAAAAAACATGTATTTCTTCTTTGAAATGGAGGACATTTCCCCCAAACTGTTAATTTTTCAACAAGAGGGAAAAAAAAAATGACAGGACACAAATTTTTTTTTAAAGACTTATTTCAAGCAGCTAATTATTTGTTCATTTGTTTAACCATCCCTTGGGACAATCTGTAATCTACTCTGATAAGAAATGTGTAGAAAACAGACCTGACGTTTTGTTGTTGTTCAATTATTAGGATACTCAATGTTTGAGCTCACACAAGTATCCCTTAGGGAAATGCTCTGCGTGCCATTAGCACTATTCTTAATGAGGAAAAGCACAGAACTCCTTTAGTTCATTGCCAGAATTGTTTTATCTTCAAGTCAAAAGAACAACTATTTGGAGTAATACCAAAACAAGCATTTAACAATTACAAGCAGCAAGCTATTCATAAGCATCATATTGTTAATGCTAATCCAATTATAAATAACCTTATTTTATCAAATAAAATATCTGTCAGCAAAATTTTCGGTCCTAGACACCTCTTTACTTGACTGCTTTATTCCTTAACTTTAAGAAAAAACATCTTTATTGCTTCAATTCAAAGAATCTCATTTTAAAGACTTTTTACAGAAAAGATACAGAAAATCCTTCATTATTTTAATCCATGAGTAAGTTATCTTCAAAGGAAACTTACAAATCATAAACGAAGGCCTAAAAGAGACCACTGTGCTTATAATAATCCTCAATGATACAGTGAAGTAGGAAAATCTGAAGATCTATCATTCCCATTTTCTTAATGTCCTATCTTTCCAAGAGTACAGCACTTCCTTCCTGCATTAGGAAATAATCTACTGAATATTTCCCTTTCACCTTTTTCTCTCCATTTCTCTGTTCTGTAAGACAATGTACAGCTTTCTAGGTTGCTTTTGGTATCATTATCTATATGGCCTTGGCCCTTATTTAAACTCTTTATCTTTATACTTCACTGATGCATGAGGACATACAAAATAGAACTACTGGGCCAAATACAGCAAATCTGAAATGTCCCATATGTCCCACAGATATTTGGGGAACTTGATGTTGTCACAATTAGTAGAGCCTAATCATGCACTAATAAGGAATTGAGAAGTCTAAACATGAAAAACTTTTTCACACATGAGGCACCAACATTTTGGGGAAAATATGTGAATTTTTATTAAAATACAAGTTTTAAGCAGACTGAAGTCCAAAGTGAGAACTACTGTGATCAGCTTTTATTACATTTATTAACTGTCATGAATTTTTGCAAGATAGGCATACTACATGATGATGTGATAGAAAAAATGATAAAGATTATGGAAGTTATTCAAACTCTTGCCTTTAGTCATTCAGGTTAATAGGATACTTAGGAAAAGCTGTAGAATTGGATTTCTGTTTAATACAGACATTTAGACTGTACTGCTGCTTCAGTTCAAGCACTTTCCAGAAACTAAGAGACCTAACTTGGTCCCCCACCACCACCAACACTACCACCCAGTAGCCCTCAAGATTACACACGCATACCTAACTTATGTATAGCAGGACTACTCTGTCTGAAATATTTTCCTGCTATGAATCTATCTGTAGTATGGTCACAGCTACTATTATAAAGATATTCTCATGTTTTCTGCCAAGCTTGATTTACCTTTTACTTCACCCTTCTTCCCACCAGTACTTCTGATCCTGTCTCCCACTCCAGCCAAATCTGTCACACTTTACAGGTTGTGCCACTTTACAACAAACTAAATTCATGAAGTCATCTTTATTGTGTGTGCTATTATTAAGAAATCAAATAAACCCCTGATATTAATAAATTATGATGGCAGACTGTATTTCATTTGGTAATATGTTATAATGACTCCTCACAGAACTGTTTTACACTTCAGTTTCCAACAATGCACCCTCAGTTTTAACTAATGTATGCTGGTACTTTCTCTTACCCATATTAGAAGACATATCAACATTTCTGAAAAAACAAGTGCTGAAATTATAAACGTTTAGGCTAAAACTGGGTATTCGTATTAAGCAGATACCAAATAAACTCATTTCCCAGTCTTCCTGCAAATCTTAGGGTACTGATATTGAGCATTCCTAATCCAAAAATCCTAAATCCGAAATGGTCCAAAATCCAAAACGTTTTGAGTGCTGACACGATGCTCAAAGGTCATGCTTAAAAGAAATGCTCATTGGAGCATTTCAGGTTCCTGGATTAGAGATGCTCAAGCAGTAAACTGTGAATATTTCAACACTCAAAATCTGAAACACTTCTGTTCCCAAGCATTTTGGATAAGGGATACTGAACCTGTATCTGAATTATCTAGTATCTGTCCTATCAATGAACCCACATTAGAAAAAGAAGAAAGAGGAAAGAACCAAGCACTTTATACATTTATTCAATTTATTTGAAAATAATGATAACCACCAAGATCCAGTATACCCTCAAAATTTTTTTTTTTTGAGACGGAGTCTTGTGCTGACGCCCAGGCTGGAGTGCAGTGGTGCGATCTCGGCTCACTGCAACCTCCACCTCCCGGGTTCAAGTGATTCTCCTGCCTCAGCCTCCGGAGTAGCTGGGATTACAGGCGCCCGCCAACGCACCTGGCTAAGTTTTGTATTTTTTAGTTGAGTCGGGGTTTCACCATCTTGGCCAGGCTGGTCTCGAACTCCTGACCTGGTGATCCACCCGCCTCGGCCTTCCAAAGTGCTGGGATTACAGGCGTGAGCCACCACTGAGATGTGCCCTGTCTGAACACATCCTACATACTCAAGAATAAAGTTCATCCTATTAAATCTGTGTTCTCAAATACTTTATTAAAATCAATCAATGACCATCACTACACTGTTAAAAAAAACATAAAGCCAACTTGCCTTTGGATTACTTCTATATTACTACAAAGTTGCAGTTCTTTAAAAGCCAGTATTATTATTTCATCAGGTGTCACTTAAAATTCATGCAACTCACATGTTAATCATGTAGCACACCATTTAAAATATATATTACCCTGAAACAAACCTAGACTTACCTGTAGTAATGGCTCGATGGAACTGATGCATATCTTCCCCTGATAGCTCTTGGGCTACCTGGAATATCTTTTGTCTGACACCATCCAATTTAATTTCTGATTCAGTCAATATATCTTCCATATCAGGAGCACTATGATCAAGATATTGGGAACTTTTAGAACATCAGATGCTTTAACAGTGAAAAACTAAAATAACCTAATTATCAACATAGGGCTAAATATTGTATGCATTCATATACTTCTAACTCAAAACTACTCAAAACTATTCATAGTATGGAGAACATGAAAATGTTATTAACACACTGTTAAGTGAAAAAAGTATACAAAAATTGTATGTTTACTATAAGAAAAATTTTGTTCATAAAAATATGATATATGGATAAATGTCTGCTTTCAGTAAGGGCAGAGTAACGTGGACTGGATTTATCCTCCCTCCTTAAACAACTAAAAAGAAAAAATAAATACAGAAAACAATGGTTACAGACACTGGACTACAGGCAGCATGGAGCAGTGATCCCTGGGGAAAGGGAGGAGAACAACATATACCCTCTGACTGCCCCATCTTATTGCCTGGAAAGCTTCCAAGTGACAGTACAGAGACAGGAAACTTAGGTGGAGCCTGGGAGTCAGCCTGAGTAGAAAAGGAGTTGGGAGTTTTGGGGGATCGAGACAGCTAAAATTTGCAGAGCAGAGTAACAATGAGGAGAAAGCTGTATAAACAGAGAGCTTCAGAGATTTATAGAAGCAACCTCCTCAAGTCTTCAGTTGAGTACTGATCAGTGCAGGCATGTGAGGAAACTACCTAAGGCTGGAAAAAGAATTGCCCAAAGTGAGCAGGCAGAACAATCCCCTTAGTTCACAGAGCCGGAAAGAATTGATTTATCATCAGCAGATTGACACTACAAAAAATATTAAAAGAAGTTCTTTAGGCAAAAGGAAAATGATACCAGATAAAAATCTGAATCTATACACAAAGGAATGAACATTTACAAAAATTGGTAAATGTGGATAAATATTTTTCTTATTTTTAAATCATACTGTTTAAAGTAAAAATCATAACATATTGTGGAAACAACAAAAGTAGAAATAACATGAATCACAACAGTAGCACAAAAGGCCAAGCTAGTAGAGGGGAAATGGAAAAGGAAGTATAAGATTTTTATACCATACGCGAAATGATAAGTAGTCCTTACTTTGCATGGTACTGTGTTAACTGAAACTTGGGCACATCAAAACTGTGACCTTCACTGGCAAAGTAACTGTTACCAAAAAATCATGCAAAGTGAAAAGATTCTTGTATGCACAAATTTTAGTAAACACAGTATTGTACAAAGTGAGAATAGTTGACAATAAGATATATATTATGAACCATAAAACAATCACTACAAAAACAAAACAAAAAAGGCATAGCTAATAAGCCTACAAATAAGATAAAATGGGATCATAAAAAATTATCCAAAATAAGGCAGGAAGGAGAGAAGAATAGATGGTAGATTTAATTATAACCATAGCAATAACTGCATTAAATGTAAACGGTCTAAACACCTGCACTAACAAGCAGAGATTTTCAGAATGGATTTTTAAAAAGCAAGAGAGACAAGAAATCCATGTTAAATATAAACACAAATAGATTAAAAATAAAAGGATGAAAAGATATACGTTCTAATAACAATCAAACGAAACAGGAGTAGCTATATTAACATCAAACTTTGGGCAAAGCCTATATCCAGGGATACCATCATAATGATAAAGGGTCAATTCATTAAATGCATAACAATCCTAAATATTAATGTACCAAATAAAAGAGCTTCAAGATACTTGAAGAAAAAACTGATAGGACTTCAAGGAGAAAGTCAAATCTACAATTATCGTCAAGAGAGGTCACCCTCTTTCTCTCTTAATAACTGATAGAGCGAGTGTACAGAAAATCATAAGGAAATAAGTGACGCGAACACCACTATCAGCCAATCTGACTTAATTACACCTAACAATAACAGAATACACACTCTTCAAGTGCACACACAACATTTACCAGATAGACCATATCCTGGGCCAAAATTAAGGCTCCATAAATTTAAAAGGATTCAAATTATAGAAAGTATGTTCTCTGACCACATGAAATTAAATTAGAAATCAGTATCAGAAAGTCGTCTGGAAAACTCCCAAAATATTTGGACACAAAATAACATACTTAAATTATTCTTGGGTCAAAGGTGAAATCAAAATGAAAATTAGCACCAATAAATTTCAAAACTTAGAGGAAATGGCAAATTCCTTGAAAGACACAAACTACTGAAGCTCACTGAAGAAGAGTTATCTATGTCTATTAAAATAATTTTGTAGTTAAAATACATGAGGTCCTCTCACAACAGTTTTTCAGCTGTACTGTGACTGGCTCATTTCTTTCATAAAGTTTTTTTTTTTTTTTTTTTTTTTTTGAGACAGAGTCCTATTCTGTCACCCAGGCTGGATTGCAGTGGCACAATTCTGAGTTCAAGCAACCTCCGCTTCCTGAGTTCAAGCAATTCTCCTGCCTCAGCCTCCCGAGTAGCTGGGATGCCACCAAGCCCGGCTAATTTTTATATTTTCAGTAGAGACAGGGTTTCGCCATGTTGGCCAGGCTGGTCTCAAACTCCTGACCTCAAGTGATCTGCCTGCCTTGGCCTCCCAAAGTGCTGGGATTACAGGCATGAGCCTCCACATCCAGCCTCTTTCATGAAGTATCTTTACTTTCCTGAAGTTTCTAATATTTCTAAAGTTTCTATTTTTTTCTTAAGTTTCTTATTTTTCTGAAGTCTATTATTTTCTCAGTTTACTAGTCAAAACTGTATGAACAGTATGATCACAACTATGATAAAAAACAGTGCACAAAATAAGAAATCTGCTAGTTGATAGAGGCTATCTTTGGGTACTACAGACTGATTTGTCTCATTAAGTAGCTTTACCTTTCTGCCATTCGTAATTTTTCTAAAGACTACCATTTTCTAAGTTTACTATAATGAGCATTTATTTTTTGGTGGAAAAATATTTAAAAGATGACTTCACACAGTAACGCAGATTTTTCTAAAATATTAAGGTCTCCTGTCATATTCCTATTACAGGTTGAGCATCCCTAATCTGAAAATCCGAAATCCAAAATGCTCCAAAATCCAAAACTTTCTTAGCAACAAGACACTCTAAGGAAATGCTCACAAGAGCACTTCAGATTTCAGATTTCCAGATAAGGGATGCTCAACCCATACATTATCTGCAAGTATTCCAAAATCCGAAATCCAAAACACTTCCAGTCCCAAGCATTTAGGATACTCAATCTGTATGTTTTTCTTTATATTATTGCTTTTGTTATTTATATTACTGCTGAATACTGATGGCAATTGTTTTAGAATTGTAATAAGTACTAAAAAAAAGTGTCCATAATTAATAAGAACAGTATTGCTTCTTTCGATAATACAAGCCTTATTATGTACAAGCTATCTAAGAATGATATGAGAAAACAAGCAAAAACTAATTTTACACAGTCAGGTAAGAAAAAGAAAATGTTAACAGTGCCATATTTCAATAAATCTATGTATGGCAAATTAGATTCCATTTAATGAAGTAAAAATTAAAATGTGAGAATTATCTTAAAAGTTTCATGTTACTGAACGGAATACTTCAGTATCTTTTTTTTTTTTTTTTTTGAGACAGGGTCTCATTCTGTCGCCCAGGCTGGGGTACAGTGGCACAATCATGGCTCACTGCAGCCTTGACCACCTGGGCTCAATCAATCCTCCTGCCTCAGTCTCCTGAGCAGCTGGGACTACACTTGCATACCACCATCTCCAGCTAGTTTTTTGTATTTTTTGTAGAGATGGGGTTTTGCCATGTTGCCCATACAGGTGTGAGCCACCATGCCCGGGCAATAATATCTTCAATAACGAAAAGCTAATAAATTATATGTGATCTTCCCTACATTCTTTCTGTGACATATAGTATAAAACCAATCACAGCTACCCTTCTGGAGACATCTGGAATTTGTAACAACAATCCGTCTTCAGAAGCTGGACTAAAACACGTAAGCTGGGGAGTTGTAGGGTAGATACTATTCTACCTCTCGTGAAACAGGCAAAGGAATCAGGTCAAATGAATTATGAAGCAAACAAAGAAGCAAAGATGGAAGATGGAGATCCTCAGCTGCTCATAAGATAGTGCTGAATCTTGGGAAGTTCTAATTTTTCTGAAGTCTGCTATTTTCTCAGTTTACTAGTCAAAACTGTATGAATAATATGATTACAACTGTAATAGAAAATAGTGCATAAAATAAGAAATCTGCTAGTTGATAGTGGCTTTTTTTATAATTAATTTCCCCGTTCTGCTTAGACTAGTTTAAGTTAGTTTCTTTTACTTGCAATCACGAAGTCTATCAAATATACAAAGCCTGCGTAGAAAAATAAAATAGTAAAGTCCTAGAGAAAAAAATGTAAACAAAAGTCACAAAACTGAAACAGGAACTTTCGAAAAAGAATTAAGTAGTCAACAGTATCATATGCTACAAAAATGTAAAATAAGAAAACAGAGACTTAATAATATGAAGGTAACAAGGGCATTTCAATAATTGTGAGGCAGAAAGCCAGACTGCCATGAGTTCAAAAATGAACGAGAAAATAGGTTATGCAGATTTTAACATTTATCTAATATTAAAATTTTCACGCATATCATCCAAATAAAGTTTAATGTAACAGGCTCTAACAATCAAAATATATCATATATTTTCACAGACAATAGCTATATCTTAATGAATAATCTTAACACAAAATCCCTAGCTGCTCTGAATTTTTCTTTCTTAAGTCCACCCAACCCCTACAGACTTTTCCTTTTTTTTTTTTTTTTTTGAGACAGGGTCTGGCTTAGTCGCCCAGGCTAGAGTGCGGTGGTGGGATCTTGGCACACTGCAGCCTCTGCCTCCCAGGCTCAAGCAAGCCTCCCACCTCAGCCTCCCAAGTAGCCGGGATGATAGGCATGCACCACCAATCCCACCTAATTTTTGTATTTTTAGTAGAGACAGGGTTTCACCATGTTGCCCAGGCTGGTCTCGACCTCCTGAGCTCAAGTGATCTGCCCGCCTTGGCCTCCCAAAGTGCTGAGATTACAGGCATGCGCCACCACACCCAGCTGAGACCTATTTTTATTAAAATATTAACTCTTAAGTTGTACCTACTGCTGATGTCTTCTAATCCTCACAAAGTCACAGAATATTCTAATAGCTAGTATCAAACTGTAATAAATTCTAAAGATGCTTACTCACCTTGTAATCCTATGGAGGAGAAAAATTGTCCTTTTACTTTCAACAGTTATATCCCGACTAAGTTTCACAAGTCTCTCATATTTGTCATGCCTTGCATCAAGTTCCTGCTGAAATGCTAAAAACACATTATGATCATAAGCATGTATATTCTATACTCAAAGCCTACCAAACAATATTTTTAAGATGTACGTCACATATGCTGGGTGCGGTGGCTCACGCCTGTAATCTCAGCACTTTGGGAGGCCACGGTAGGTGGATCATGAGGTCAAGAGATCAAGACCATCCTGGCCTAGACGGTGAAACCCCGTCTCTACTAAAAATAAAACAATTAGCTGGGCATGGTGGCATGTGCCTGTAGTCCCAGCTACTCGGGAGGCTGAGGCAGAAGAATCGCTTGAACCCCGGAGGCAGAGGTTGCAGTGAGTCGAGATCAAGTCACTGCACTCCAGCCTGGTGACAGAGCGAGACTCCGTCTCAAAAAAAAGAAAAAAAAAAAAAGATGTCACAATGTAAATGCAGACAATGACTGCAGTCACCTGACTTCATTCAGAAGTAGAACACGATGGTAATGACACTAATTCTCAAAACACAAAAAGGTGATTATAAACAATCTCTAGCATCTACTGACTCTAGTGTTAATTGTCAAATATCCTAGGTATACATCACTAACAGCGCTAAAGTAGCTCAAGAGGTCCAGTTAATGTTCCCAGATTTCTAAACCTTTAAAACTAAATATCTAATAATTTCTGTAAATGCCAACAACGCACAGCAGCTCACAAATTCCTGAATCCTTGAAGATTTTCTAAAAATCTGTCAATTGTAGTAAGGTAGCACGTGTATATTAAAATGAACATGAAACAACTTCTTAAAAGTGAGTGCCACAGTATGTGTATTGTATCTTAATTTTTTAAAAAGCTACCAAATTATATCACATTTAAATACTAAGTAAAAATCTAGTTAGCCCGTTTATTTTAGAAAGTACATAATCTCAAATTTACTGTTTTACCATGTAGTAATATTGCATACATAAGCATAATATACTTCAGAAATATTATTTTCAGAAAGATTAGTAAAGAAGAAAAAAGGAAAAATGACTGAAAATAGACAATCACTACATGAGTTAGTTTTGTTATAACTAGAGAACTAGATCATAAAGTAGTTCTGCAATCAATAGAAAGCTGTGGCAGAGTTCATCTGAAAATGATCAGTAAGAAACATCAAAATTTAATTAGGCTGGAAAAAAGTCAGCTGAAAATTGAGTTAGTCAGGATGTTAGAAATCTAGGAAGAGAACTGAAAGTAGGAGAAAATGAAGAAGAGTTCCTGAGATCGATGAAAGGCTGAACGCAGGCTGTGGTGTCCAATTCTTACATACTATCTTCGAAGACTCAACACTTCCACATAGAATTAATCTTCAACCTGTCAAATTGTTACGGACACAAATCTCCCATAACATAATATTACATTAAGAAAAGATTTCCTCCCCACTTTCATACATCCTTTTCCTTACAGAACAAAGCATTTTCACAATTCTAACATGTCTTGCCTTCAGGAAAATTTTCATACATTTGTCTCCTTAAATGTCAGCACTTTGATTCCTTATAGTTACTGTTTTCTCCTTACCTGTATTCGATCAGCACTTAATGCTGAATGGAATACTTTTGTTTCTATCTATTACATATAACTGCCAATCTGCTTACCTTTTATGCTAACTTAAGTTTCATCTACTCTGCTTAATTTGTTTTAGTCTCGAATATTGAGACTCAAAGAATTTTACCTTGGTAAACTTTTTACGGAAAGCCTAACTTGAGACTGCCAAACAAAAACAGTGTTTTAAGTTTTTTTAAAGAACAAGCTTTCATTATACCACTATCAGATGTTTCAGCCTCAAAATTTTTTCCTTACTAAAATTCTTAACAGTTAACAAAATAATTACTTTGTATTATTGTTTAAAAGACTACATCTAAAGTTTTGTGAATATACTTAGAGCAAAAGGTATTAAATAAATTTAACTGAAGAAAGACTGTTTACCTTTTCCAGAACACAAAGCTATACTTACAGAACGTTGTATATACCTAACATTTAATAAAACAGTACAACAACTGGGAGTCTACATAAAGATTACATTACCTATGGGAAAAATAACCCGCAGAATCTAGAATCTTTTCATAGTAAATTCATGCCTCTAACACATTAAACTGCCTCATGTCCTGCCCTTAGCTCATGAGCCAGGCAGACTATGTCTTCTTGCTAGTCCTGATTCTCTAAGCTTGTACCTTTCTTGATGCCTCTATTTTTGCTACTGCCTCTCATCATCTCACATTTCACTTTCATCATTCAGATATCATTCTGCTCAAGGACTGCTTAAGAATCACGTGCCTCCCTCCTCCCTTACTCTCCATTCCTTACCACGCTTCACTGATTTACATTTATCCTTCGCTAGCTAAAATTATATTATTTATTTGTAAATGCACTTGTTTCACCACTGTATCAGAGCATAGATCCATGTCTAGCAGCAGGTGTTCACAAAACATTTCCTGACTGAACTGCTTGTTGAAATCATAAGCAGTATAACATACTGGATAAGAGCATCTGTTGTAGTTTGAGATAAACGTACTAAGGGTATGCAATCTCCTGGGAACTAAGAAATTGTTGAAAAGGAACTGCAAATCCATGTGCCCAATAAGCACTGCCCCTAACATGGAATAATGTCTTATTATTTTGCTGCTATTACTTTTTCAAATGTATGCTAATGCAGTTGGAATAAAGTATAAATTACTCATAATAGTAATATAAGTTAATTTTATAAAGCACTGTTGAATCTGTCTCATCAGCTTCATTACTGTCATCCAAATCTAAGTTACCTTATTACTTTATTACCTCTAAGTTACCTTACAAATACCTTACTGTACCGGAACTACAAAATAGTCTCTTGTCTGGTCTGCGTCTGCCCACCTTGCCTTTCTGTAGCTGCCAGAGTGACATTTCTAAAATATACTTTAGTTTTTAAGACTCTCTAATGACTCTGCATTACGTTTAACAAACTCCAAACTCTTTATGAAGCCTTACATTACTTGGTCCCTTGCAATACCCCCAAAAAGAACAAATCAACAAACCATCATTTATGTAGTATTCCAGCCAGGGATGCATAACCTGAATCTAACCATGAGAAAATATTAATCAAATCTAAGTTGAGGAATATTCTATTAAATAAGACCTATATTCTTCAATCAATATCATTGTCAAGAAAGACAAAACTGGGAAACTGTTCCAGATCACAGAAAACTAAAAAGAGACATTACAATGTAATATGTGATCCTGTTCTAGATTACTGGACTAGAGAGAAAAAAAGCTGGAAGGAACCTTATTGAGACAATTGTCAAAATATGCACTGTAGATTAAAGTATTATGTCAGTGTTAAATCTCCTGAAATTAGTTAACAATACTAGAGTTATACAACAGAATAGTCTTCTTCCTAGGAAATATATTCTGAAGTATTAACAAGTAAAGGGGTATGATGCATGCAACTTGTTCTTAAATGGTTCAGAATATATGGTTAGACATATAAATTTACATATATAGAGAGAATAATAAAGCAAAAGTGGCAAAATGTTAAAAATTGGTCAATCTAAGTCAAGTCTATACAGAAATTCTCTGTACTATTTTTCCAACTGCATTAAGTCTTCTAGTTTTTTAAATAAATTTGAGATTACCTCAAAATAAATTTAAAAAGAGACAGTATTTCTTTACTCAGATGATTCAACAACAGTAGAATATTGATCTGATAACTCCTTTTAATGCAATTAACTCCAACTTTGATAGCAAAGTGGTTGCTCGGACATTAAAGATCCTGGGTTTGAGTTGAACAAACTATACTATCTCATGAAATTTTGTCTGGAAGCTAGTGCTTCTCATTAAAGACTTTCCGGGCCGGGCGCGATGGCTCACGCCTATAATCCCAGCTCTTTGGGAGGCTGAGGTGGGTGGATCACTTGAGGTCAAGAGTTCAAAACCAGCCTAGCCAATATATAGTGAAACCCCATGTCTACTAAAAATACAAAAATTAGCCGGGCATGGTGGCACAGGCCTGTCGTCCCAGCTACCTGGGAGGCTGAGGCAGGAGAATTGCTTGAACCTGGGAGGCGGAGGCAGGAGAATTGCTTGAACCTGGGAGGCGGAGGTTGCAGTGAGCTGAGACTGCACCACTGCACGCCAGTCTGGGTGACAGAGTGAGAGTCCATCTCAAAAAAAAAAAAAAAAGACTTCCCATGAAATCCCTTTTAAAATCTCCTCTGACAGACCTGTAAGCTTTTATGTCAAACTTTTCCAAAACACTTGGTAAATCTTATGAAAGGAAAAAAAAGGGAAATGATTTTAATTTTCTTAGAATACAAATGGCTAGAAAGCAAAAACAGTCTGTACCTAAAAGTACTGTCTCTATATGTAAGAAAGCAATAATTATTCAGTTTATGAAAATGAAGAGAATAAAATCATCTTATTTCTAAATTACATGGAAATCAAAAAGGCTCAACTAAAATATTTTCCTCTTTAAATATAGGTATGTATTAACTGGGTTTTACTACTTAGTCTCACAATGGGAATACTGTACAAGTTGTAAAAAATGAACTTAGTAAACAAGAGATTATCACAAAATGACACGTAACAAAGAGTTACATAAAGTTTTAAAAATTACTTTAACCACATATATTAATAATATAAACACCTCCAAAAAAAGAAACTTGGACCTTTTTTTTCAAGTTTATTAAAATTTTTTTCCCTGTTGTCTTCCTGCTTTTCCACCTTTACTGGGGTATAACTGACAATTAAAAATTATAAGGCCAGGCATGATTGATTATGCCTGTAACCCCAGCACTTTGGGAGGCCAAGGGGGACAGATCACTTGAGCCCAGGAGTTCGAGACCAGCAGGGGCAACACAGTGAGACCCTGCCTCTACAAAAAAATCTAAAAACTAGCCACGTGTGGTGGCACATGCCTGTAGTCCCAGCTACTTGGGAGGTTGAGGTGGGAGGATCACTTGAGCCCAAGAGGCTACGCTTGCAGTGAGCCAAGATCACGCCACTGCACACTTCAGCCTGGGCCAGGGTGAGGCGTTGTCTCCAAAAAAAAAAAAAAACCAAAACTGTGTGTGTGTGTGTGTGTGTGTGTGTGTGTGTGTGTGTGTGTGTGTGTGTGTGTTATTACCACTATTAAGCTAATTAACGTATCCATCACCTCAGTTAGTTTTTTTTTTTTCCTTTTTGAGTCAGGGTCTCTGTTGCCCAGCCTGGAGTGCAGTGGCCCAATCACAGCTCACTGCAGCCTCAAACTTCTGAGTTGAAGCAGTCCTCCTGCCCCAGCCCCTCCGGAGTAGCCAGGACTATAAGCATACTACAGGCGCATGCTGTCATGCCCAGCTAATTGTGGTAAAAACATTTAAGATCTACTTACTTAGCAAATTTCAAGTATAAACTTCCTGAATTTATCAAGCTCTGTACCTTGAAATACCCTTAAACCACTTAACTCTCTTAATAACGCCTTTATTTCCCAAGTCTTTTCACTCCACAGCCCCGCAAGCTGCCTGGCCTATAGGAAACACCCAATCATGTATATTGCACGAACTGAAAAAACAAGAACTTAAACTATTAACTAAATTAGTAGCTGACATGGATCTAAATATATCTAGTCTTTTATTACTGAGATAATAACTAGGCCAGGGTTAAGATAATCAATATGTATTCATTATTTATTATGGCTATATTAATGACCACTGTAAGTCAGACACTATGAACACAAAGTTAGATAAGGAACAATTCCTATCCTCAAGGAGCTCAGTCCTGTATGAGGGACAGAGATGTAAACAAATAAAATGTAATCATGCTATAACAAATATATGTAAAAAACTTATGAAAGCAGAAACCACGTTTCTTGTTCACTACTAATACATGCGAGAACATAGCAGATACTCAATAAATATTTCATGTTGGTCACCAAGTCGGCTTGAGAGAAAAATCAGAACGCATTCACAGGAAAGAGGCTACTTGAGCTAGGTCTTAAAGAAAATTGTAGTTCAGGCCAGGCGCAGTGGCTCACGCCTGTAATCCCAGCACTCTGAGAGGCCGAGACGGGCAGACTGCTTGAGCTCGGAGATCAAGACCAGCCTCCAGCAACATGGCGAAACCCTGTCTCTACAAAAAAATTTAAAAAAATTAGGCATGGTGACACACGCCTGTAGTCCCAGCTACTCAGGAGGCTGAGGTAGGAAAATGGCTTGAGCCCAGGAGGCAGAGGTTTTGCAGTGAGCCAAGATCGTGCCTAATTATTATCTCAGCCTGTGTGACAGAGACTCTGTCTCAAAAAAAAAAAAAAACCAAAAAACTGTAGTTCAGCAGACGGGTAATGAGGACACCACCTTAGAAGCAACTCCACCTTTTCTTTTTTTTGAGATGGAGTCTCATTCTGTCGCCGGGGCTGGAGTGCAAAGGCGCGATCTCGGCTCACTGCAACCTCCGCGTTCCGGGTTCAAGCGATTCTCCTGCCTCAGCCTCCCGAGTAGCTGGGATTACAGGCACCTCCCACTACGACCAACTAATTTTTCGTACTTTTTTTTTTTTTTTTTTGAGACGGAGCCTCGCTCTGTTGCCCAGGCTGGAGTGCAGTGGCACGATCTCGGCTCACTGCAAGCTCCGCCTCCTGGGTTCACGCCATTCTCCTGCCTCAGCCTCCCAAGTAGTGGGGACTACTGACGCCCGGCTAATTTTTTGTATTTTTAGTAGAGACGGGGTTTCACCGTGTACTTTATTAGAGTCAGGGTTTCACCATGTTGGCCAGGCTGGTCTCAAACTCATGGCCTCGTGATCCCCCCGCCTCGGCCTCCCAAAGTGCTGGGATTACAGGCGTGAGCCACCACACCCAGCCGCAACTCCACCTTCTGTATCAGTACGCTCTTTATTCAATTACGGCCAGCTGTCTTAAACTTCTGACGATCACAGTAGATACTGTGGTGGTTTTCAAATATATCCACAAATAACCTGAGACTCCTCCCTCCAAAGGGTGGGACATAACTTCCTTCCTCTTCAATGTGAGACAGTTTTTAAAACTGCCTCCCTTCTAACAAACACAATGTGACAAAAATGACAGTGTCTGATGTCTGAGATTAGGACATAGAGATTGTGGTTTCCTCCTTGCTCTCTTGCACTCTCTCTCTCTGAAGGAGGCCAGATGCCACACCAAAGGACATCCAAGCAGCACAAGAAGTTCATGTGGACAGGAACAGAGAGCTGGTTGCAGGCAAAAGGCCTAAACTATCAACAGCTGTAGATCCTTCAGCCCCAATCAAGGCTTCAGGTGATTGCAAATAGGAATCAACCAGCTAAGCCCTTCCCAGATTCCTTAATCACAGAAACGTAAGGTACAGGATAGTGGATAGACAGGGACAAAAGGAAGAGGATTTTGTTTTGTGTTTGTTTTGAATTGAGGAATAACTTGTCCAAGTTAATATGCTGAGAAAAGGGGACTGTGAAAATATGTGTATATAGATATGCGAGATTCACTAATAGATACAAGCTCCCACTCTGTGCTAAGTGTTACAGTTAAAACAAAGATACCGTCCCTGTCTTCAAGTCTAGTAGAGGAAACAAATACACACTAAATGAAAATATATTTTAGCATATAACAGATGAGTAAATATTATCAGGTACACAATTCTTGAGTATGTGACATGTCAAATATTAATTAATGTTTACTGTTTCTTGTGTTTAAGTCATGTTTACCTGATTACTAATATTTCTCTTAATGGGACATAAAAGTGAAGGCCTTTGTAATCCAGACTTTTAGGGTACATCTAGCGCCATCACAAAACCTCCAGCTAAAGTTTCACATTAAATTCTTAGGGACTGTTTTCTTGCGCATAACCATGGCTAAATAATTTTGTTCTCTCCCCTTCTTCAACTTACATTGCAGAGAACTTACATTTAAAGGCCAACATCACGGGTGAAGATGAATTAACATCCTTCCCTTCTCTTCTTTGGTTATGTGGGAAATTGTCATGCTTCCTTTTCCTGAACCCTCCTGATCCTTATATAGAGAAGAAAAAAAGAGAGGGATCTTCCATCACCAAGAGTTTGCAAAACACAACATAGACAAACCTACTCCTTGCTTTAAAACCAGATACCCACAGGGCCCTCGCCTTAGAGGCTTTCTCCGCAGACTGACAGAGACGCTGCCCAGGCCTTTCCAAGCAAATCATCCAAGTTTCCACCAACTGGTGCTATGATCTGGCATTACAGCAATTACTGAACTAGGATAAAATCACACCTCAAAAATTTAAGAAAAAAGGAGGTGTAAACAGGGCCGATCTGGCCGGGGAGAGAAACAGAGGGGCCGCCCCCGAGTCTACAAGGGACGAAGGCATCCTTCAAGGGTGAAAAGGGGAAAACTGCATAGAAAGACTGGAGAACCTCCCCCTCCGGATAAATAACGCCCCGTGTTGTTAAGGACGCCACCTTCTTTGTTGCTCATGTCGTCACAGCCTACGGTGAGACGAGCGGAGACTGAAGGACCTGGAGCAAGAGGAGTGCGCGAGGTACAGGCCGAGGGAACCTGGGAAAACAGCCTGCAGAAAAACGCTTTGCAGCCGGGCCGACTACAACGCAGTGGCCGGAAGTCTCCTCTCACGTACTTCCGGCCTGCGTCCGGAGGGGAGGGGAGGCCGTCGCCGCTGGCTCCGCCCACCGCGTGGTCCAAGGACCACCACCCGCCACCGCCGCGCGAGCGTACTATTGCGGCCGCCCTCTGCTGCGCCTGAAGAGAGAGGCGACTCTACAAGCCTCACAGCATGCACTGTTACTAAAAAGACGATGCGTCCTCCTGGACCTGAGATCTGTGTGATCGTGGGAAAGCGACGAAAAACGTACGTAATTTTTTTCTGAAGGCACCTTCGGGACACCTTACCCTTCCCTCAGGGGGGCCCAGCTTCGCGCGCGGTGCTGTGGGGGTTGTAGTTCCTCCGCCGGAGCGGGACCTCCGGTGCCCCGGGCCAGGGATGTGAGAAAGAAGCGAGCCCTCGAGTTTCCTCGGGGCATGTGGGAAGGTTTTTTTCAGGATCCAGGCAGAACCTTACAGAGCTGGGAGTTTTTTAACTTTCCATTCCTGGCAGTGACGCCAGGAGCTTTAAGTGATGGAAATATGCGAGTCAATCAGTGGATGGTGTTAGTACTGTTTTCTCTTATGAAGATCAAGCCTGCCCTTCGGGTCTACTTCCACCTTTTCCCCCTGCCCGTCTCCCACCGTCTCCCTCCTCTCCACTGGCTCTCAGAAGCCGGACAGCCTGTGTTCAACTTGCCTCCACGGAGTGGTTGTGTGACCTTGATGAAGCACGCAACTTCTCTGCCTCAGTTTCCTTATCTGTAACATAGGGATAGAATAGTACCCGCCTTGTAGGGTTATTTGAGGATGAAAGGAGTTAAGTCTCGTGAAAACGCTCTTTCACATATAACTGCTCAATTAAATATTAAATACCATACTCCTCTCCCACCAGGGCTCTCCCAAACAAAATGATAGACAGGTGAGTAATAGCAGCTGTGTTCCACTAAACTGTGGGCATTTCATTATGAGCAGGTGCTGCCACCATATCTAGACTTTGTGCCGCCCCTTAGCCCCAGTGCTTCTCAGCGCTGTGATCCGGTCCCATGTAAGCTTCCGTCAATGTTTGTTGAAGAATCATGTTCCTGGTGTCAGAATAGGTAACTAGATGGCAATTCAGCACCGTCTAGAGAGAAACTCAGGCCAAGGCTTCATAACTGGGGTGCCCTAGGCCTAGTACAGAAAACACAAGTACATTTTAAGCTTTCTCTAAATAACCTCTCTATTGTGGTCATGTGTTGAACACACAGTCTTTTCTCCTTGTTAATTTAGGAACAAAGGAACAGTAAATGGAGTAACTTGGCTAGAATATGGCAGTAACTACAAGGCATGTTCTGCTCTGGCACGAAGGTAACCACCACTCATACCTCTCCAGCCCTGTGAATACGTCAATTGACTAAGCAGATTCCTTGAGGATAAAGTAGGCTCCTGGGGACCTTGCTTGTTGGGCTACTTGCTTTGTGGATGTTAAACAGATAATTCTCATGAGTTTGAGTGACGTCTGATCTACCAGTATTCCCCCTACTCTGATTAGAAATGACTTGACCATGCCAAAAAGAATAAAAGACAGCTCTGATACAAATGTAGCCATTTTAATGTGACTCCCTCTAGATCCAAGGAAGCCAGTACTTACGAACATTTTCAGAGTCAATACTTACTGTACTGTACCATAGTCGAGGAAAAGGGTATTTTTCCTAACTCTCCTGGAGTAGCACATCCCAAGATCTCAACTTTCCAAAACCTGGATCAACTATATTTCTTTTCTTTCTCCAGCCACCACTCCCCTAGCCTGTTCAACTACAGCTATGTTACCTGAACTGCTTTCCACTCTTTCCCATAAATGTAATGATTAGAACACTAAGTTTCATAACCTGTAATGACTTCTGAAAGTATTTAAGGGAGGTGAATCCCAGGAGCACTTTCCCAGCACTTATTTGCATATGCATTTACCCCAGGCCTCCCCAGGTGTTCCAACTTGTAGCTACTCCTTTGTCAGGAAATAGATTTCAACTTCTGTAACAACCTGCATCCCTACCTGGTCTCCTTGTTTTATTGCTTCAGATGCAAACACATAGTTTTGGTACTTGGCAAAACAGTTTTTTGTTTGTTTTTTAAAGGAAGACAACCACCCCAAGTCAGGGAGAGGAAGGTAAAGATTTTTAGTAGGATCTTACCTCTGATGTTGTTTTTACTTGTTATTGTTGCTTTTTTTTTTTTTTTTTTTTGACACGGTTTCACTGTCACCCAGGCTGCAGTCCACGGCTCACTCACTACAGCCTCGACCTCCTCGGGCTCAAGTGATCCTCCCACCTCAGCCTCCCAGGTTGTTGGGACTACAGGCACATGCTACTATGCACGGCTAATTTTTTTTTTCTCTCCATTTTGTGGAGACGGGGTTTCGCCATGTTGCCCAGGCTGGTCTCAAACTCCTGGGCTCAAGTGATCCACCTGCCTAGGCCTCCCAAAGTGCTGGGATTACAGTGAGCCACTGTGCCTGGCCCCCTGTTGCATTCTAATTGCCTATATTTGACTCTGAATGAAGCACTAAGCCTTTCAATTGCATGGTGGTTATTCAGTTCATAAATCCTCTCATTGGTCACCATTAGATTAAGAGAAAAATCGCATATCAAAACTGGTTTGGGAGGCCAAGGCGCGCAGATCATTTGAGGTCAGGAGTTCGAGACCAGCCTGGCCAACATGGTGAAACAGTCTCTACTAAAAAATACAAAAATTATCTGGGTGTGGTGGCACGCACCTGTAATCCCCAGAGGCTAAGGCAGAAGAATCTCTTGAACCCAGGGCGGGAGTTTGCAGTAAGCCAAGATAGCGCCACTGACCTCCAGCCTGGGCCACAGAACAAGACTTCACCTCAAAACAAAAACAAAAACAAACAAAAAAAACTGGTTTTGGATATTGAAGGAAAATCATATAATCCAGTAAAGAGAAGATAATTAACAGATTATCTATTTCAGCATTTCCCTTATTTAGTTATTACATAAATAACTAAATCCTGGGGTAGAAGAGATCATGGGGAATTGTAAGAATCTGGAGTTTCTGTTTTTTAAAAGATAACCATAATATTTAAAAGATATCTGTGGGATCCAGAGTGGTATTGTGAAGTGTACACATTACCTTTATTGTGAATAAATTCAAAGATTTATTTTTCAAGCAATGCTAGGATGTAGTAGGAGAAAATGATGTTCCAGTTTTATAACACAAGAAAGAGAAGCTCATATTGAAGAAGTAAAGAGTGATGGGTAAAACCACAATGAGATATCACTTCAAATCCACTAGGATGACTAAATTTAAAAAGAAGACAGAAAATAATAATTGGTGAAGATATGAAGAAATTGGAACCCTGATCAATTGCTGGTAGGAATGTAAAATGGTCCAGCCACTATAGGAGACAATTTGGCAGTTCCTCAAAGAGTTGGACATAGAATTACCATATGACCCAGCAATTCCACTGTTAACTATATACCTTGAACACAAATGTTCATAGCAGCACTACTCACAATAACCAAAAAGTAGAAATAACCCAAATGTCTATCAGTAGATAAATGGATAAACAAAATGATATATCATTTGGCAATAAAAAGGAATGAAGTACTATTCATGCTGCAACATGGATGAAACTTAAAAACATTATGCAGAGTGAAAGGAGTCAGTCACAAAAGACCACTTATTATATGATTCCATTTATATAAAATGTCCAAAATAGGCAAATCTATAGATAGAAAGTAGATTCAAGGTTGCCTAGGGCTAGGGGCCATGTAACAGTGAGGTGGAGGGGTGATAGCTAAAGGATGTAGGGTTTCTTTGTGAGGAGACGGAAATGTTCTAAAATTGACTAGGGTGATGGTTTCACCTATTTGTGAATATACTAAAAATTATTGAATCAGTCAGTTTAAATGATGAGTTACATGTGAATTATACTTCAATGAAGCTATTAAAACAAATTTTTAAAAGTGTTGGGAAACATTCCTTTCAAGTCTTGTAAATATATTGTGTATATATATATATGTAAATTTACTATATACATGTAAATATATAGATAATTCAATGTTATTAGGAAAAAGCATTAAACAATATGGCTTAAGTTTATTTTTATTTTTATTTTTATTTATTTATTTTTTTGAGATGCAGTCTCGCTCTGTCACCCAGGCTGGAGTGCAATGGCACGATCTTGGCTCACTGCAACCTCTGCCTCCCAGGTTCAAGCGATTCTTCTGCCTCAGCCTCCTGAGTAGCTGGGATTACAGGTGTGTGCCACCATGCCCAGCTAATTTTTTTTTTTTTTTGTATTTTTAGTAGATATGGGGTTTCACCATGTTGGCCAGGCTGGTCTTGAACTCCTGACCTTGTGATCTGCCCACCTTAGCCTCCCAAAATGCTGAGATTACAGGTGTGAGCTACTGTGCCTGGCCGGCTTAAGTTTATTTTTAATACTCCATAACAAAAAAGTATGTAAAGTACTTTATAGGTTTGACAATATTTCAACAAATATTTCTGTGCCTGGTTTATGCCTGACAATGTGATTGGTGCCATACAGGATGCAAACATTTACTATCTCTACTTCTCCCATTCTTCTTGATCTAGCTCTAATCAGGCTTTCACCCCATCATTTCTCAGAAACTGCTCTTGTCAAAATCTAGGGATTTTGCAATGACTTCCGCATTGCAAAATCTGATCGTCAGTTCTAACTCCTCATCTCACTTGACCCTGAAGCAGCATTTAAAACAGTTGTCATTCCCTGTGTCTAGAAACCACATTCTCTTGACTCTCCTTCTATAATACCTCAGTAGCCACTTCTTCCCAGTCCTTTATAGTTTCTCCTTACCTCCCCAAACACTGAATTGCTGCAGAAGTCCTCCTCTCTTCTCTATTACACTTACTCCCTTGTTGATCCCATTCTTATGGTTTTAAATGCCATCTATAATCTAACAATTCCTGCACTTCATATATTCAGTTCAGAAAACTCATAAATCCAGTCCAAACTCATATCGAATTACCTATTTACTATATTCTCTTGAGTGTCTAACATGCTTCTCAAAATTAACGTGTCTAAAACTGAACATAGCCATCTTCCAATACCTACTTCTTCAGCAGTGTTCCCTATTTCAGTTAATTTCTATTCTTCCAGCAGGTCAGACTAAACACTAGAGTCATCTTTGACTCCTCTGTTTCCCATTCCATATTGGGCCACCCTCCCCCACAAATTCATGTTGAAGCCCAACCCTTAGTGTGACTATATGTGGAGACAGGGCTTTTAGGAGTTAAGTAAGGTTAAATGAGGTCATAAGAGTGGTGTTTTGATCCATTAGGATTGGATTGGTGGCTTTACAAGAAAATATCTCTTTCTCTGTCCATGCACCAAGGAAAGGCTACATCTCTTTCTCTGTCCGTGCACCAGGGAAAGGTTTTGATCCATTAGGATTGGTGGCCTCATAAGAAAAGATCTCTTTCTCTTTCCATACACCAAGGAAAGGCTATATGAAGACAGAGCAAGAAGGTAGTTATCTACAAGCCAGGAAGAGAGTCCTCACCAAAACACAACCATGCTGGTACCCTGATCTTCAACTTCCAGTCTTGAGCTGTTGAGAAAATAAACTTTTATTGTTTAAGCCACCTAGTCTATGGTATTTTGTTATGGCAGCCTGAGCAGACTAAGATACTTTTTATTACCAAAATCCTTTTGGATCTACCTTCAAAACATATTCATATTACAACCAGTCTCCCCAAATTCTGTTAGTACCTTAACTCAAGTTACTATCATCTGTCACTTGAAATAGAGCAATAGCCTCCTAACTATATACGGATGTCAATCCTCCTCATTGAGATGCAGTCCATTTTCTCCCTGAAACTGAGCAGGCCTTTTGACTTGCTTTGACCAATAGAATTTGAAGAAATGATGCTGAGCCAGTTCCAGGCCTACCCCTTAAGGAGACTTGACACTTTCTACTTTAGCTCTCTTGGAACTTTGAGCCACCACGTGAGGAGTCTGATTACCCATTCGCAAGTGATGCCTAAACAGCCCCTGTTCCTTCCAGACAACCCACCTGAGGCACCAGACACATGAGTGAAGCCATCTTGGACATCCCAGTCACAGCCAAACTCACTCCTGAGTGCATCTGCATGATGAACCCAGCAATCCCCACCATGGAGCAAAGGATCCATCCAGTCAACCCAAAGAATCGTGAAAAATAATAAATTGTTGTTTTAAAGTTCTTCAGTTTGGGAATAGCTTGTTATGCAACAATACATAATTAATACACTGGTCTCCCACTTTCAAGTTTGATTAACTTTCAGCTATTTTTCACATAGCAGGCAGAGTGATTCCATTAAAACATATATCAGATAATGTCACTGCACTAAGTAAACTCTACAAGGACTCTCATCTCCCTCAGAGTAAAGGTCACAGTTGTTACAAGGCCCTACGTAATGTGGCCCTCACCACCACTCCATTACCTTTTTCTTATCTACTATTTGCTAACTTTGCTTTGTCCTCTTTTCTGTTCTGAAACAGGCTAGGCATGGTCCTGCCTCAAGGCCTTTGCACCACCTACTCTGTCTGCTTGGATTGTTCTTCCCACAGATTTCTTGCTCCCTTCTTCCTTCATGAAGAAATGTCATGAAATGTCCTTCCTTCATGAAATGTCACCTTCTCATTTGAGGCCTTCTGTAGTACCCCAAAGAATGGTCCCCAAAGATGTCCACATCCTTATGCCCAGAACCTGTGAATGTGTTATCTTAATGGCAAAAGTGACTTTGCAAATGTGATTATATTTAAGGATCTTAAGGAGGAGATTATCCTGGATTATCCAGGAGGGCCCAATGTAATCACAAGGGCCCTTATAAGTGAAAGGGGGAGGCAACAGAGAGAAGGAGATGTCATAATGAAAACAGATCCAAGTGATGAGATTGCTGGCTGGGGTGGAGGTGGAGGGGGGTACAATCCAAGGAATGCAAGAAGCCTCTAAAAGCTAGGAAATGTCAGGACACAAATTCTCCCCTAGAACCTGAGGAAGAAACCCAGGTTTATGGACACTGATTTTAACCCAATAAGTCCCTTTTCTGACTGCTGACCTCCAAAACTGTAAGATAATAAATTTGTGTTATTTTAAGCCAACTGAGTTTGAGATAATTTAGTTATGGCAGCAATAGGAAACTAGCACACCTTCCTAGCCATCCTATCTAAAATGGCAACCCATGTCCTTCCTGGCACTTCCTATCTCCCTTCCATGTTTTTTTTAAATCATATATACAATATATTTTACTGTTTTACCTATTGTCTTTTCCACCAGAAAGTAAACTCCACGTAAATAAGGATTGTCTGTTTTATTCTTTGCAGTATCTCCACTGCCTAGGATAGCATCTGCACATACTGCACACTCAGTACACATTTGTCGAATGAGGTCAGGCGCGGTGGTTCACACCTGTAATCCCAGCACTTTGGGAGGCCAAGGCGGGTGGATCACCTTAGGTTAGGAGTTCGAGACCAGCCTGGCCAACATGGTGAAACCATGTCTCTACTAAAAATACAAAAAGTAGTTGGGCATGGTGGCATGTGCCTGTAATCCCAGCTACTTGGGAGGCTGTGGCAGGAGAGTCACTTGAATCTGGGAGGTGGAGGTTGCAGTGAGCCAAGATTGTGCCACTCCACTCCAGCCTGGGCAACAGAGTAAGACTCTGGCTCAAAAAAAAAAAAAAAGAAAGAAAGAAAAAAATACATATTTGTTGAATGAACAAGTGAATGAACAAATGTTATGCAAATATATTATCCCTATCTGTAGCTTGCCTTTTAATTTTGTTATAGTAACTTTGGTTGAAAGGAAGTTCTAAAATCTTTAATATAATCAAATGTATCAATCTTTTCAACTTGTATATTTTATGCCTTGTTTAATCAACTCTGTCTTATATCAAAATTATAAAAGTATTACCCTGTATTTTCTTATAAAAGTTTTGAATCTTTTCTTTTTCCACTTAGATCATTAATCAACTTGGAATTGGTGTTACATAGTGGTAAATGATTGTCCCAGGACCACATATTGAATATTTTATCATTTCTCCACTGATTTGTAACAACACAGTGGTTATATATCCTGTTTATACATGGGTCTGTCTCTAGGTTTCCGGTTCTGTTCCAGTGGTCTGTTTGCTTACCCTTCTACTAATAGCACATTGGCCTAATTACTATAACTTTATAATGTGGCTCAATCTCTGGAAAACCACATACCTCTCCCCTCCTCTTTCTACAATATTCTTATATTTTGCAACTGGCCTTTACTGTTTTGTATTATTTTTAACAATACCTTATATACCCACATATATTAGATGCTCTTAGCATCACTATTTATAGCATCTAAAAATTGGAAATTATTTAAATGTCCACCAATACATTAGTTAAATAAATTAGGTTATACTCACATAGTGGAATACGATACTGGCTTTCAAAAGAATGAGGTAAATTTACATATCTACATTAAAAGGTATTCAAGATATCAGAAAAAAGGGCAAGTTGCAAAACAATATTTAGAGTAAGAACCTATTCATGAATTTTTTTAATGTAATTTGTGTTACATGTAGAAAAAAATATGGGCAAGAATACATCAAAATGTTAACAGTGGTTATATCTGAGGATCAGGAATAGGAAGAACATTCGCTTTCTAAGGTATGTATTCCTATAATTCATGGATATGACAATAACCAAGTATTACTTTTACAATAGAATATATAGGTTTTAACTTTGGTTAAAGCAAATATATCTTTTTTTTTTTTTTTTTTGAGATGGAGTCTCGCTCTGTTGCCCAGGCTGGAGTGCAGTGGTGTGATCTCAGCTCACTGCAAGCTCTGCCTCCCAGGTTCAGGCCATTCTCCTGCCTCAGCCTCCCGTGTAGCTGGGACTACAGGCGCCCACCACCACGCCCGGCTAATTTTTTGTATTTTTTAGTAGAGACAGGGTTTCACCGTGTTAGCCAGGATGGTCTCGATCTCCTGACCTTGTGATCTGCCCGCCTCGGCCTCCCAAAGTGCTGGGATTACAGGTGTGAGTCACTGCCCCCGGCTGCAAATATATCTTAATGTTAAATGTGTATTTTTCTGATGATAAAATTATGAGAAATGTTATTTTCATTTTTGTTTTCCAAATTGTTTACAATAAGTATACATTATAATAAAGGTGGAAGCATTATTTAGAAAAATATTAACAATGTTTTTTAATATTGGGGTATGGTGATATTTTTCCTTCCTCTCTATAGAGCTCGAGTTTTCCATGACAAATTTATTGCTTAATATGCAAGTCTGCTTAGCATCCCTTCCTTGAATGAATCACCCCTTTCATACTCTCCTGGTAAATTGCCCTTCAATAGTCCTGGTATGGCTGCAATTTGAAGGAACTTCACCATTCCAAGCATAGGCTTTGCTGGTGAAGAAGTGATAGAACAAAGGAGAAGAGCATTCACGAAGGAACACTGGCTTGAGAACCTCATTTGTCCCTTTAGGGATCTTCAAACCACTAACCCAGTGGTTCTCAGCAAAAGGTGATTTTCCTCTCAGAAGATGTTTGGCAATGTCTGGGGACCTTTTTAGCTGTCATAACTGGGGAGTGGGACTAGGGTTGCTACTAATATCTAGTGAATAAAAGCCAAGGATACATTTTACAATGCACAGGACAACCTCCCACAAACAACAAAGAATTTTTCAGTCCAAAAATGTCAATAGCGTAGCAGCTAAGAAACTAAGAAACCCTGTGCGGGGCAGTGGGGGCTTCGCAGCAGGGAGACACCTGCTAACTGACCTTGGCTACCAAAAGGAAAGGAAACAGGATCGCTGTTTCACAATAGAAGCTGGGAGAAGTACAGCTGGATCACAAGAGATCCCCAGGGGTCCTTTGTTGTATACCATGTGCAGTGGTGAAAATTATCAGCTGACTATAGCAACCCATCACAGACAGAACCACTAAGGATTCAAGCCCCAAGAAATAAAGGTGTGCATTGCCTTATCAGGCAAAGAACTTCAACCAGCTTCAGTGTGAACGAAAGATAGGCAAAACAAGGAATAGGTGGTAGGAGAGGAAAATACCAGTTACAGCCTCAAGACCAGCTGTACAAAGAGCTATAGGCTCTACCTCTATTTCTTTGCCTGCTGCATCTTACATTAATATTTTTTTCCTTTTCTTTACTATGCAATTGTATCTGTGGTATAATGGTGGTTGTTACATTTGCTGTTTGTCCATAATTATGGAGAAAATATTGACTGTGAACTAGGGTAGAAATGAACTAAGAGGATCTTGAACTCTGGGAACAGTGGCTTGTGGTAACATTTGGGATATTTTTATTTCTGTTTCCATTGAGTGGTATAAAAATTCCCTTCAAAAGAGGAATTTTCTAAGAAGTTGAACCTCTCCAGGTGCCCAAGAGTAGATATCATAAACTTTGGATTGAACAGAAGACAAAAAGAAAAAGATATCTGCATGTAGATAACTGATAGATACAGAGAGTTAAGGACCTCACTGATGACTTTCATAGAAATTTTTAAATGCTAATGGAAACAGAGTCAGGTAGGAGCGTGTTAGCCTTTAAGGAAATTAGCAATGAGGAGTGGACTTTACTTCATAAATTTGTTTTGCCATTTTTGCGGGAGAGGGGGAGCCAACAGCTGCATTTTCAGAATAATCTCTATGTATAAAGTCACATGAATGGATTTCAAAAGTTGTAGTTGGGTAAACAGCATCTTCCTTTTATCAAAATTACTTTTTCCATTTAGATCAGTTCAAATCCCTGAATAAATTCCTTTTCTGATAAACTAGTTATAAAGGAGTGTATAGTTGCAATGAAAAACTCTTAATTGGTACAGAAAGTGTTATGAAGAAGAGTTTCAGGGCACAGATCCTCAAGGAAGTGATTATTGAGCTTAGTTGGATCTGAAGACACTGAGGATTCAAAGAGAGTGTTTCTCAGGTAGATTATAGCATATAGAGGCAAAAGAGTTATTGTTATTTCCTATGCCAACTGTAATGAAGTGCCTGAAGGAAGGTTTTGGGGGACAAGTGGCATGGTTCCTTAAGTGCTGCCAAACTTTAAAGAAAGATAATGACAGGCTTAAGATAAAAATTATTGGCTCCAAACAGAAAACCAAGGGCTGTCTTTAACTGCTAAGAGAACGTTTAGGTTACTAGCCTCAGAAATGAAGTAACAAAATCAAACTCAAAATTTGAACCTGTGGACTGTAAAATTGAAGAGTAAGTTGTATTTACAGCATCACCAGATCTCATTCAAAATTAGTGCAGTGATTGGGATAGATTGAAATACCCTGAGAATTGAAATGAGGAAAGAGGAGAATTTGGGTGACAGATTATTCCAAACTCCACTGCACATTCCTTGCAAGCTGGAATTTCCCAACCCACATATCTAGTGAGACTATTCTTGTTTTGCTTGAAGATCTTATCACGACCTTGCCTCAGACACTTACTTTGTAGGAGGTGGCCAAATTGTCTCATGCCCCATTTCTATCGCTACTAATTTGCCTTTGTATCTACAATTAGGGCCAATTGCATCAGGCACACGAAGGCCAATTATAAAGTCAAACTCTGAAGAAGAAGGCTCATAAAACAAAACAATTTTGTTTATTTATATGGCAAGAACCTGAAGAATATCAACGATAATGCATTCTTAGAGTGTTAGACGAGGGAAAGGGGAATCATTTAAGATCGAACACCTTTATCGAAAGGCGTTCAAGCAGATAGGAGTGATTTTAGTAGTTTATGTATTCTATTATCTAAAAACAGGACTCAATGGTAACCAAAAACAAAATGTAATAATGTTGCAAGAAATTTCTTTCTACTAAACACAGGAAGGAATATGGGAATGTTAGAATGGATTTATCAAATATGTCTACTCAGCCATCACTAACTATGTCCAGTAAGAGAACTCTTTTTAGTAGTCTGGGGGTACAAATAGTTGATTCTGCCATTGAAATGGGCTCTTTGGTTTCAATGGGGTTTATGGGATAATAACTTAAAAAGCAAGGTGGGCATGGTTATTATAATAGACAGCAGGGTAAGAATAATAATCAAAATGGTTCTAGATCACATAGATCCTAGGACCAAACTGCCCACTAAGTTCCTAGCAGATAGAGCCTCACGTAAGCCTCCTTGGTTGAACAACACTGTCCCTCATCTAATTCTCCTCCTGAATAAATTCAGGACTTAGAGATCTTTGAAGAAAAAGCATGGTAAGATACTCTTGAAGAAGACACCAGCAATAACATCACTAGTGCATTCTTTAAATTATCCTCCTAGGCTTCCACTTAGGGATTTGTGTTCATTTACCAGGGTTATTATGGCACAGACTAACTGGGATCCAGGAAGCTACTATGGTCAACTGGTAAGTGTGGGAGTTTATTGGGATTAGGTGATGAACAGGGTTGTTGTTTTGTTTTTTGTATGCCTCATGGTGCGCTCAATGGGACTCTTAGCCCATTATATTGTCACTTCCTGAATAAATAAATATATAGTTGGAATACAAGTCCTCAACAATTGGCAGAATTTTCACTTTGACCTTCTGATCTGTGAAATATATACTATAATTGTAGGAAGGACCAAGTGGAAATCTTTGAAGCTCTTCCTATCAAAAGGCAAAGCCAAAGCAATACTACATTCCTAGAGAAATGTGAGGCTATTACCATCATCAAAGACTTGTAAGAAACAGGAACGACTATTCTTAGCACATCCCTGTTTCACTTCCTTCTTTGGCCAGTGCAAAATGAGTCTTGGACAGTGAGAGTGTTAATTAGGCAGTGATTCCATTTGCAGGTGTTCTAGGTAGAGTCTCTTTTCGCAAGTAAATCAGCACAGCCCCCAGCATCTGAAATTATAGCCATTGATCTAACTGGTTCATTTTTCTTTCCATAAATAAGAAAAGAACATCAGAAGTAGTTTACTTTTACCTCACAGGGATACCAGAACATACTCATTTCTTATGTCGAGGCTGTCGGCTCAACAGCTTTGTGCAAGAATTCAGTCCACTTTGCTTTGGTCCACTTATCAAGAGAATCATGCTAACTTAAAGTAACATTTTTAAATGTCTTCAGATGTTCAGAGTTCCATCATTTGTAACAGCAAATCAAGAAATTGTCTAAATATCAACAATAAAGACATGATCAAAATCATGGTCTATGTGGTATAATATGAAAAAAAATTTACCAAGAACTTGAAACATATTGGCAAATTTTTATATTACTACACTAAGTGAATAAATGGTACAGTATAATCATACTTATGTTTTTTGCTATGCACAGAAAATGATATTAACAGTATAATCTGCTGGGTGCAGTGGCTCACACCTGTAATTTCAGCACTTTGAGAGGCTGATGCAGGAGGCCGCTTGAGCCCAGGAGTTCAAGACCAGCCTAAGCAACATAGTGAGACCCTGTCTCTACAAATAATTAAAAAATTAGTGGGGTGGTTGAGCTACTAGGGAGGCTGAGGTGAGAGGATTGCTTGAGCCTAGGAGGTTGAGGCTGCAGTGAGCCGAGATCATGCCACTGCACTCCAGCCTGGGTGACAGAGCAAGACTCCGTCTCAAAAAAATATATAAATAAATAAATAATAAAATCAATGATAAGGGTTCAAGCAATACATGCACACATATTGGTGAATGGAATCCAAATTCTACAACCATTTTGCAAAGTAATTTGTAAATATATGTCAAGAGCCTTAAAAAATTCATATATAAAACTACCATTTGACCTAGCAATCCCACTACTGAGCATCTACCCAAAGGAAAAGAAATCATTATATTAAATAAGGCCTGCATTCGTATGTTTATTGCAGCACTATTCATGATAGCAAAGTCACAGAATCAACCTAAGTGTCCATCAATGGTTGACTGGATAAAGGAAGTGTGGTACATATACACCACGGAATACTATGCAGCCAAAAAAAGAATAAAATCATGTCCTATTTAGCAACATGGATGCAGCTGGAGACCATCATCCTAAGTGAAGTAACTCAGAAACAGAAAATCAAATACTGCATGTTCTTATAAGTGGGAGCTACACAATGGGTACACATGGCCATAAAGATGGAAGTAATAGAAACTGGGGACTCCAAAGGTAGAAGGGTAGAAGGAGAGTGACAGTTTAAAATATTACCTGTTAGATACAATGTTCTCTGTTTGGATGATGGGTATACTAGAAGCCCAAACTTCACCATTACCCAATATATCCATGTAACAAATCTGCACATATACCCCCGAATCTAAAATTTTTAAAAGTTTGTTTTAATGTAATAAACCTAGACGTTCTGCACATGTACCCCAGAACTTAAAGTATATAAAAAAAGTTTGTTTTAATGTTCTTAATATTTGTTCCAACCATTTCACTCCCAGGAATCTCCCCTAAAATTATTGAGATGCAAATAAAGCTTTAGATACAGAAATATTCAATGAAGCATTACTTCTCTTAATCATACTTGAGAACAACTTAAAACTCTCAAATGTGGGAATAATTATATTAACTCATGACACCTGTATGAAATGAAATATTAATACAGGGTTTATGAGTTAATATAATTATTCAGATTTTGATAACATTTGAGAAGTTTGTGATATGCAAACTTATAAAGCAAGACGTAAGTTCACCTATGCCATGATATCAATCTATTAAATATGTGCATTTTATGGAAATACTGATTCAGAAACACAAGTCAGCATAATATATGGCCAAGGATTTTTCACTGAAATAGGAATAGTGAAAAACCTGAAACAAATGTCCATCAGTAGGATTATTTCAGCAAATTATGGTATATTCATTCAGTAGGATAATATAGGGCTGTTAAAAGAATGAGGTTAGAACTGTATGTACTAACATGGAGATGCTTTCAAGATAAGAGAGTTCAGTGGCATAAAAGTAAGATAGTATTTAATGTAAGAAAAATAGAATCCAATTTTCATTAAAATAGTAACAATATATGCATAAAAAGAAAGGATGGAAAAAAACTTTCAACAGTGATTCTTTCTGAGAGTCAGAATTATAGATGTTTGCTTTATATTGTATATATTTTTGCAGTGTAACCCAGCATGTATTATGGTTGTGATTAAAAATTTTTTTAATTTAATTCATTTTAAAAAATTGTTTGTGGAGACAGGGACTCGTTATATTGCACAGGCTGGTCTCAAACTCCTGGCCTCAAGTGATCCTCCCACCTAGGCCACCCAAAGTGTTGGGATTACAGGCGTAAGCCACTGCACCCAGCCAGAAAAAAACCTTTTAACTTTAAGATTTTTTTTTTTTTTTTTTGAGACGGAGTTTCACTCTTGTTGCCCAGGCTGGAGTGCAATGGCACGATCTTGGCTCACTGCAACCTCCATCTTCCGGGTTCAAGCGATTCTCCTGCCTCAGCCTCCCAAGTAGCTGGGATTACAGGCATGTGCCATCACACCCAGCTAATTTTTGTATTTTTAGTAGAGACAGGGTTTCACCATGTTGGTGAGGCTGGTCTCGAACTCCTGACCTCAGGTAATCCACCTGACTTGGCCTCCCAAAGTGCTGGGATTACAGGCGTGAGCCACTGTGCCTGGCCGACTTTTAAGATTTTTAATGAAGGCATGAATACCACCAAAATGTAAAGATTGTTTATATCTACATATTTACTGGCATTTTCAATTTTCTGTATACATTTGAATTGTTCCAAATTGTCTATGGCAGCTTTCCTAATCTATTGAGGAAACATTATTTAGAAAAATAATAACAGTGAATATCTTTCGTTAGTGGGACATGGTAGGTTCCTATCTTCCCCATTTTGTTTTTTTTTTATTTTTCCAAAAGTGCTTATATTAGAATGTATTATTAGATGTTATTATATTATTATATTATGTAATATGTTGTTTTGCCATGCCCAGTATTATTTCCTTTAGGCATTTGTTCTTCTCTATGCCATATAATCCTAAATCAATCTATTATCTCTCATGAAATTTGGCTTTAAAACAGACACACCCTAGGAGGAAAAATGATTGTAGCTGAGTCATTTGCTTGACTTCCCAAGGATAAAATCCCTGAAACTGCACTGGTTCCTGTTCTCCCCAAGGACTCATTGTTCATCATTAATTTTGATGCTGGTTGCTCGTCAGAACCTCAAATAAATTCTTTCTTATTACCTAAGTTAGAGTCCATTTCTATTGCTTGCTGCACAAGAACTTTAACTGATTCAGAAATTGTAACCACAAAGTGAATCACAGGGAACTATGGAGAACACAGAGTTGGTCATGAGGAAAAGATGAAAGCAAAAGAGAGTCCTGTTTTACATTCCAAGATGAGAAGATAGCAGCCCACACACAGTACACAATGGCAAAATGTCATTACCTGTGACCATCTAGGCCCATGTGACCTCTGCAAATGAAGTTCAATCACTTTGTAAAACATTTTGTCATTATCTGTTGAAGTTGAACCTGTGCATGTCTCATGACCTAGCAGTTTCACTCTTGGTACATTCACGCACCAAGAGTCTCATAAAAGAACATTCACAGCAACAGTACTTGGAGTAGCCAGAGACTAAAGAAAACTGAAATTTCTATTAACAATTTAAATATTTTTGTTTCTGTTTGTGAAATAGTTGCAAAAATCCTAAACAAAAACAATAGCAAAGCAAATACAACTTTGTCTAAAAGGATAATGAGCGCCTATAAATTTCTGTTTATTTCTGTAGTGAAAGCTTGGTTTAACATTTGCTGTATTAAACATCAAGACTTACTATAAAGTTAAAGTAATTTAAACAGTATAGGCTATGGACATACAATTTATGACAAGTCTTGATTTTTGCATTTGTCTTTACAAAAGAGAGTGTTGGCGGGCGCAGTGGCTAACTCCTGTAATCCCAGCACTTTGGGAGCCAAGGTGGGTAGAACGCTTGAGCTCAGGAGTTCAAGATCAGCTTGGGCAACATGGCAAAGCCTTGTTTCTACAAAAAATACAAAAATTAGCTGCGTGGTGTCTTCGGCCTATAGTTCCAGCTCCTGGGGGGCTGAGGTGGGAGCATGGCTTGAGTCAGGGAGGTTGAGGCTGCAGTGAGCCAAGATCATGCCACTGCACTCCAGCCTGGGTGACGGAAATGAAACCCTGTCTCCAAAAACAAAAAAGTGTCCCTTAATTTTTCTTTGTTCTCTTTTTTTTTTTGGATGTCTTTTTTCGAGTTTGGGTATCTTCATAAGAACAAATTGGGGAGTGGTTCTTCTTTCCATATCTTATTTCTCTGGATGAATTTGTGTAAAACTAACATTACTTCTTCCTGAAATGTCGGTGGAATTTATCACCAAAATAATTAGCCCATGAAGTGTGTGTGTGTGTGTGTGTGTGTATTCCTGTTAAACTGAACTGTTTTTCCTTTAACCATGAAATTCTTTTTCTTTAGTAACAGTTTTCACTTCATTATTTAAAAATTTTTTTTTATTGATTGATTAATTATTGATTTTGAGAAAGGATCTCACTCTGTTGGCCAGGTAAGGGATCCACCCGTCTTGGCCTCCCAAAGTGCTGGGATTAGAGGTATGAGCCACTGCACTCAGCCTACAACTGTCTTTTTATATTTCATTGGTTGGATCAAATTTTCTTTCTTATATTTCATTGGTTGGATCAAATTTTCTTCTGTTGGTTTAAGTGCTACCCTTTTGTTACTTTTTTTCTTATGATAATTGTCCTTTTCTTAACCCAACTGAATTGATTTCTTAGGCTTATCTGCATCTATATCTTCCACTCAGACAAGCACTTTAGCTTCTAACATTTCTTATAGATACAATTTTAACTGTGAGGTTTTAAAAAATGTTTTTCAAAAAATGTTTGCCCTTTTTTTATCAAATTATCAATTCATCCTCTATATTTTCGATCTGTTGCAGCATTCCCTTGAGTTTTTCTCATTTGACTGCTTCTCCAGTAATGTTTTTTTTTTTTTGAGACAGAGTCTCACTCTGTTGCCCAGGCTGGAGTGCAGTGGCACGATCTGGGCTCACTGTAACCTCCGCCTCCCAGGCTCAAGCGATTCTCCTGCCTCAGCCTCCTGAGTAGCTGGGACTAGGCGCACGCCACTACGCCCAGCTAATTTCTGTATTTTTTACTAGAGACGGGGTTTCACCATATTGGCCAGGTTGGTCATGAATTCCTGACCTCGTTATCTGCCTGCCTCGGCCTCCCAAAGTACTGGGATTACTAGGCGTAAGTCACCATGCCTGGCCTCCAGTAATATTTTTTAAATAACTTTTTGTGTGACAAACCTGTTGTATGCCCGAGACTATCTTTAATATTATTATTACACACATTTAAATGAGAGTTTGGCTGAATATAAAATTCTAGGCACAAAATGCTTCTTCAGCACTTCTATTACTTCATTATCTTCCTGTGTCCAACAATCCGATAAAATATGTGTCAATCTAATTATTGTTTCTTTGAAAAACAAGCTTTTAAATGTTGTATTCATCCTAGCTATTATTTTATTTATTTTTTTTTTTTTGAGACGGAGTCTCGCTCTGTCGCCCAGGCGGGAGTGCAGTGGCGCGATCTCGGCTCACTGCAAGCTCCGCCTCCCGGGTTCCCGCCATTCTCCTGCCTCAGCTGCCCAAGTAGCTGGGATTACAGGCACCCGCCACCACGCCCGGCTAATTTTTTGTATTTTTAGTAGAGACGGGGTTTCACCGTGTTAGCCAGGTATCTTAGCTATTCTTACATTTCATTGTGTTATGTCTAGGTATAGGTTTTTCCTTATCTCTCCTCTTTAGCCTTCTCTGAGCCCTTTAAATCTCGAGACTTCCATCTTTAATTTTGCAGAATTTACCACCATTAGCTTCAAATATTTTATCCCCTTAGTTTGTTTCTTTTCTCTTATTTTCCAGATGTTGGCACTTCTACACTTCATTTCACTTACCTTTATCTTCCTCTCCCTTCTATTTATCTTGCTTACTAATTCCTGCTTTGGCTGTATCCATCTGCTATTTGTTTCACAGAACCACGATATCTGTGTTTAAATCCTAGCTTCCCCTTGGGCAATTTACTTAACCTCTTTGTGCCTCAATTCTTTCATGTGAAAAGTACAAATAATAATAGTACCTTCCTTGGAGGATTGTCGTGGGAGCTAAATGTATTGGTACTGTATATGAATGCACATAGACCATTACCTGGTACATAGTAAATAATATATAAATGCTAGTTATTATTATTATCTATTGTGTTCTTTATTATATTGTTCACACCTATTATTTCTACTTGTTCTTTCTTTGACCTTTTGTACCAGCTTCATATTACTAATATCTTCCGTGAGGATATTTGTTGCTTATTTTTAAATTCAGAGCCTATCTGTACCAATAATTCTGCTTTCAAAATTCAAGTAGTGTATGCAATTCAGTTTTGTTGTTTTTCCAATTAGGAAGGGCCAAAGCCCAGGGCCTAGTTTGTGTTCCTCTTGGTGACTGTAAAGTAATAAAAGATGAGCCTCAGGGCAGAGAGCCCCAGGGATCAGGAAGGGGCTGGTCTCAGCCCTGCTTCTTGCCACCACACAGACAAACTCCTTTGATCAGGGATTTGCTCTTCGAGTAACAGACCCCGCACTGGGAAGAGACACTCTACTTAGAGTGTAATGCGCAAGTCTTGGTGGTTGGTGAGGGAGGGAGTGCAGGTGTGAGTGTTTGAGAAAGTCTGATCAGTTAGCTTCTGTTTTCATCAGTACCTCTCCTCACCCGCGCAGGCCTTCGAGGCTGCCCTAGTATTATCCTGAGATACCAGCTGGCCAGCGATTGCTTCCATGATGGTCTTCCCAGGGCAATGTGGGAGAGAAGCAGGGTTAGAATTTAAAAGCCGGTCCTTACGTTTATGCCTTTTCCTTCAGTGGCCCTTCACCCCAGGCCATTCTCCTCACCAGGCTGAGGCCTCCGCTGGCCATCCCCTTCCTCACACGAGATAATGAATCCTTTAGTCTGTACAGAGGTTTCTCATGATTTTTATGTTGAGTCATCAAATCCTTGCTTTGCTTTCATTTCTGACTTGGTGAGATGGAGCCAGCAGACTGCGCTAGTCACTTTCTTGTCAGGAGACAAATTTTCTAGGCCTTTTTCTCTTCTCCGGTTTCAAAAATAAACTAGATTGTCAAACATTGTGTTTTGGATGAAAGATACCTAGAAAGCTATAATTATTTAGAAGTTAAGTTTGTCTCTTAAAAGAGCACCATGGATTTATACTCTTTGAAATAGGGCTTCATAGAAAGACCAAGCACCTGTACCAACCCCCTAAATATAGGAGATGCCTTTTTTCTTTTTTGTTGTTTTTCTCTTTAAAGCATAGTGCTTGTACGTAACTTGGTAACTATATATTGACGTGATTTTGATCTATATTTAACTCTGTCATGAGATACTTTTAAAAGAACCGACTAAACCATCTGTAATGGAAAGTCTCTGCCATTCTTAATTTTAAATTGACGAAAGAGTCTAAGTGCAAGTTGTGATGAAGGGTGTGTGCAAGTGTAGAACAAATTCCTTCCGTGATTAGTCAAGCTACCTGACTTCAAACAAGTTTTATTTTTGTCTCTATTACTGTTAAACTGCATGGCCTATTTCTGCTGGGCTCAGAGCAGGTTTGATCAACGTGTTTGGCCAGGGTAAACCAATAAATCCCTAAATAAATCAACTTGTTTGGGCAAAACAAATGATTCTATTATGACATGAACCAAGCAGAAACTTCCCCTGCATCTTTTCTATGAATATGACAGTTTCATGTCCAAAGGTTCCACCCGCTACTGCATGGAGCAAAGCTGTTGTACCTGGCTCAGAGCACGTTGGAGCTGACACAAGTTTAGGAGTCTGTGTCATACTGTTGCTTTGACTCAGAATTGAGTGATGGATAGATTAATGTTACCTGGAGAACATCTGATCTTAATCTCAAATCTGCCTCTGGTTTTGGTGAGACTGTTGAGAGCTCTGAGAAAGAAAGCAGACGTGCTCTCCTATCTGGCATGTCAGAATAAATGAAATACCTTTAATTTTTAACAGCACTCTTTTGAAAGTGCCTAAATAAGCCTGTAAAAGTATGAGTTTCTGCCATACTTTGTGCAGCTTTCAAGTCTACTGAAAATGTAGTTTCTCATATCTGGTATTTCACAATGAGTTTTCTTGGTTCTCAGTGATTAACAGGTACCTGTATAACAAGAAAATCTATGGCTGTTACGGTTTACACATAGTCCCAGACATTCCATACTCAAATATAGATATTTGAAATGATCCCTAGCAGCCAAAGTATGTCCTGGTATTGGAGTAGGACATATTTAGAGGCAGCACTGTGGAGCAAAATGTGGAGCAAAATAGCATAGTTTCGGGAGTTAAATGAGCCTGTTTTTGAGGACTGACTGCCAGCGAGTTGAAGCTTATGCTTTCAAGCATATAATTTTATCTCTCTGGGCCTCATCTGTGTAATGATGCTAATTAAGTGAGATGATGTATGGAAAGTGTCTGATACATAGAGATGCTTAAATGATAGTTGCAACAAACCATTAAACTTACAACATTTACCTAATAAGCATTTATTTTAATGTGTTCTGATTTCCAGTAAAGAATGGAACACAAATTTTTCTCTCGCCTTTGAACATACATGTCAGTATATAGAAAATTTATGTTACAGATATGCATATTGAGTTAATATACATAAATATGCCACATACCTCCCACATAATTCTGAAAGTTAGAAATTGGAAAGGCAATGAGATGGCATTCCATTTCTTTTCACCAGGATTTAAATCATTCCAGATCCTTTGAATGACCATAATATCAATTGAATGTAAACTGAAGTATTATATAGCTACATATTCCTGAGTTATTACATTTACTCTTGGAATGCAATAAAATGTTGTGACATTCTTATTTCATCACTTTCATTCATGCCCTTAGCCTCAGCATTTTTTACTATAAATTTTAAATATTATATATAATAAATTATTTTAGAACTGTTTTAAAGATATTTACACAAGAAATAATACTTTAAATATATTAATAAAATTAGGATAATATCATGCCAAAGCTTGATAAAGGTAATTCTCACAATATTTCAGACTTTTTCATTATTATTATATCTGTTATGGTGATCTGTTATCAGTGATCTTTGATGTTACTACTGTAATTATTTTGGGGCATCACGAACAGCACCCATATAAGATGGCAAACTTAATTGATGAATGTGCTCTGTATGCTCTACCAATCAGCTGTGCCCCCATCTCTCTCTCCTCAGGCTTCCCTATCCCCTGAGATCTAACCTACAATAGCCTCTATGTGTCCAAGTGAACACAAGATTTGCACATCTCTCATAAAGCAAGTTCTTAGAGGCTACAAAGAGACTTGGATTCCCACACAATAAGTGGGAGACTTCAACACCCTACTGACCATATTAGACAGATCATCAAGGCAGATAATTATCAGAGATATTCAGGACCTGAAGCCAACACTCGACCAAATGGACCTAATAGACAGCTACAGGACTCTCCACCCCAAAAGAATGTGAGAATAATACACATTCTTCTCATCACAACATGGCACATACTCCAAAATCAGCCACACAACTGGACATAAAAAATACTCAGAAATTTTGAAAAAATAGAAACAACCACATTCTCAGACCACAGTGCAATAAAAATAGAAATCAATACTAAGAAAATCACACAAAACCATACAGTTACTTGGAAACTGAATCCATGAACAGACCAATAATGAGTTCAGAAATTGAGTTGCTAATAAAAAGCCTACAGCCAAAAAAAAAGCCCAGGACCAGATGGATTCACAGCCGAATTCTACCAGATGTATAAAGAAGGGCTGATACCATTCTTACTGAAACTGTTCTAAAAAATTGAGGAGCAGGGACTAATTCCCAGTTTTTCCTATGAGGCCAGCATCATTCTGATACCAAAACCTGGCAGAGACACAACAAAAAGAAAACGTCAGGCCAATACCTTTGATGAACATAGGTGCAAAATTTTGCAACAAAATACTAGCAAATTAAATCCAGCAGCACATCTCAAAGCTAATCCGCCATAGTCAAGTAGGCTCTATCCCTGGGATGCAAAGTTGGTTCAACATATGCTAATCAATAAGTGTGATTCATCACATAAACAGAACTAAAAACGAAAACCACATGATTATCTCAATAGATACAGCAAAAGTGTTTGATAAAATTCAACATCCCTTCCTGTGAAAAGCCCTCAACAAACTAGGCATTGAAGGAATATACCTCAAAATATTAAGAGCCATTTATAGCCACCCACAGCCAACACCATACTGAATGGGCAAAAGCTGGAAACATTCCCTTTGAAAGCTGGCATAAGACAAGGATGCCATCTCTCACACCACTCTTATTCAACGTAGTATTGGAAATCCTGGTGAGAGCAATCAGGCAAGAGAAAGAAAAGACATCCAAATAGGAAGAGAGGAAGTCAAATTATTACTGTTTATAGGCAATATGATTCTAGATCTAGAAAACCACATAACCTCTGTCCAAAAGCTCCTTGATCTGATAACTTTAGTAAAGTTTCAGGATACAAAATCAACATACAAAAATCAATAGCATTCCTATACACAAACAACATCCAAATCAACAGCCAAACCAGGAATGCAATCCCACCCACAATTACTACCAAAATAATAAAATACCTAGGAATACAGTTAACCAAGGAGATGAAACATCTCTACAATGAGAACTGCAAAACACTGCTCAAAGAAATCAGAGATGACACAAATGGAAAACCATTCTATGCTCATAGATAGGAAGAATCAATATCATTAAAATGGCCATACTGCCCAAAGCAATTTACAGATTACATGCTATTTCTGTCAAACTACCAATGGCATTTTTCACAGAATTAGAAAAAACTATTTTACAATTTATATGGAACCAAAAAGGAGCCCAAATAGCCAAGGCGATTCTAAACAAAAAGAACAAAACTGGAGGCATCACATTACCTGACTTCAAACTATACTACAGGGCTACAGTAACCCAAGTAGCATGGTACGGGTACAAAACAGACACATACACCAATAGAACAGAATAGAGAGCCCAGAAATAATGCCACACACCTACAACCGTCTGATCTTTGACAAAGTTAACAAAAACAAGCAATGGAGAAAGGACTCCCCATTCAAAAATGGTGCTGAGATAGCTGGCTAGCCATATGCAGAAGATTGAATCTGGACCCCTACTTTATACTACATATAAAAATCAACTCGGCTGGGTGCGGTGGCTCATGCCTGTAATCCCAGCACTTTGGGAGGCCGAGGCAGGCAGATCACAAGGTCAGGAGATCGAGACCATCCTGGCTAACACGGTGAAACCCCGTCTCTACTAAAAATACAAAAAAATTAGCCAGGTGGGTGGCAGGCGCCTGTAGTCCCAGCTACTTGGGAGGCAGAGGCAGGAGAATGGCGTGAACCCGGGAGGAGGAACTTGCAGTGAGCCGAGATCACACCACTGCACTCCAGCCTGGGCAACAGAGCAAGACTCTATCTCAAAAAAAAAAATAAAATAAAATAACTCAAGATGGATTAAAGACTTAAGTGTAAAACCATACAAACCCTGTAAGATAACCTAGAAAATACCATTCTGAACATAGGACTTGGCAAAGATTTTGTGACAAAGATGCCAAAGCAGTTGCAACAACAACAACAAAAATTGACAAATGGGGTCTAATTAAACTTAAAAGCTTCTACACAGCAAAAGAAATCAACAGAGTAAACAGTCAGCCTACAGAGTGGGAGAAAATATTGGCAAACTATGCATCCAACAAAGGTCTAATATCCAGAATCTATAAGGAAATTAAACAAATTTACAAGCAAAAAACAACCCCATTAAAAAGTGGGCAAAGGACATGAACACTTTTCCAAAGAAGACATACATGCGGCCAACAAGCATATGAAAAAATTCCCAGCATCACAAATCTTTAGAGAAATGCAAACCAAAATCACAATGAGATACCATTTCACAACAGTCAGAATAGCTATTATTAAAAAGTCAAAAAATAAATGCTGGTGAGGTTGTGGAGAAAGGGGAATGTTTATATTCGGCTGGTGGGAGTGTAAATTAGTTCAGCCATTGTGTAGAACAGTGTGGCAATTCCTCAAAGAACTAAAAATGGAATTACCATTTGACCTAGAAATCCCATTATTGGGTATATACTGCCATAAAGACACCTGCATGCATATGTTCATTGCAGCACTACGTACAATAGCAAAAACATAGAATCAACCTAAATGCCCATCAATGGCAGACTGGGTGAAGGAAATAGGGTACTGTATATACACCATGGAATACTATGCAGCCATAAAAAAGAATGAGATCATGTCCTTTGCAGCAACATGGATGGAGCTGGAGGCCATTATCCTAAGCAAACTGTATTAGTCCATTTTCATGCTGCTGATAAAGACATACCTGAGACTGGGTAATTTATAAAGAAAAAGAGGTTTAATGGACTCACAGTTCCACATGGCTGGAGAATCCTCACAGTCTTGGCAGAAGGTGAAAGGTACGTCTTACCTGGCAGCAGGCAAAGAGAGAATGAGAACCAAGTGAAAGGAGTTTCCCCTTATAAAACCATCAGATCTTGTGAGACTTATTCACTAGCACGAGAACAGTATGGGGGAAATCACCCCCATGATTCAATTATCTCCCACCAGCTCCCTCCCACAACAAGTGGGAATTATGGGAGCTACAATTCAAGATAAGATTTAGGCAGAGACACAGCCAAACCATATCACAAACTGACACAGGAACAGAAAACCAAATACGGAGTGTTCTCACTTTTAAATGGGAGCTAAACAGTGAGAACACATGGATACTAGGAGGGGAACAACAGACACACGGGCCTACTTGAAGGTGGAGGCTGGGAGGAAGGAAGGAATAAAAAAAAATCTGTTAGATACTATGCGTACTACCCAGATGATGAAGTTATCTGTACACCAAACCTCATGAAATGCAGTTTACCTGTATAACAAACCTGCACATGGACCTTTGAAACGAAAATAAAAGTTAAAAGAAAAATGGGCAAAAATATAACCAGACGGATCTCTGAAAAAAGAGATAAAAATTGACAATAAATCAATGACAGTGCACTCTCAATTACAGAAATGCAAATTAAAACAAAATACTATGTATACTTATCAGATAAGCAAAAAATATAAAGTTTGATAACACCCAGTGCTGTTAAGAGGAAGGGAAAATACACATTCATACATTACTGGTGAAGATATAAATGGCACATCCATTTTGGGGACAAACTATCACCATTTATTAACTTTTAAAATGTATTTTTGGCTTTATAGAAATGAACCGATGCCTGTGATTTGTAAAGCTCTCTGAAATGGAGCATTTGAACTCAAATTTATCAACCATGTGCCTTGTGTAATGAAACCTAATCTAGATATAAAGGCTGAGCCTTAGGATTTGATATAAACAAGGAAAAAAAAACACTGGCATATAGATAGGACTAAATCTATATACTTCAGTTTTTTTCTTTGAGGTAAAACCATAACTCCATGTAAGTACTTATATACATGATTCTGTCAGTTAAAAGAAAAATCCAAGTAAATGCTGCTTGGAGATGTAGAAACACCATAGAGTTCAGAGCCAGGCCAACCCATGAGCATATCTTATCTCTAGTGCTTACTTGCTATGGGACTTGGGTAAGACATTTTCATTAAGATTTGAAAGCCAGGCCTGGTGGCTCACGCCTGTAATCCTAGCACTTTGGGAGGCCAAGTCAGGAGGATCGTTTGAGCCCAGGAGTTTGACACCAGCCTGGGCAACATGGCAAAATCTTGTCCCTACAAAAAAATACAAAAATTAGCCAGGCATGGTTGCACACACCTGTGGTCTCAGCTACATGGGAGGCTGAGGTGGGGGGATCACTGGAGCCCAGGAGGAGGAGGTTGCAGTGAGTTGAGATCATGCCACTGCACTCCAGCCTGGGCAACAGAATGACACCTTGTCTCAAAAAAAATTTTTTTGGAAGTAAGTAGAGCAACCTCTGCTTCACAGAACTGTGGTAAGGACCAAAAGAGATAACACATAAAGGTTCTATGGTGTTACCTGACACATAGTATATAGTCAAAAAATACTAGCTACTAGTATTGTACTTTTAGCCCACTATCTTGGCTACTTACCCATTTAAAAATGCTGTTTTGTGCTTCATTTAATAGAGTTCTGGGGGAAAGGAGGCCATTTGAATTGAGTAGTTGTAATGCCTCTGCCATGATCTGAATGTTTGTATTTCTCCAAAATTCATAAGTTGAAACCTAATCTCTATGCAATAGAGTAAGAGGTGGAGCATTTGAGAGGTGACTAAGGTAATGAATGAGATTATTGCCCTTATAAAAGAGGCTTAATGGAGCCCTTTTGCCTTTCTGCCATGTGAGGACACATAGAAGGACCATCATTGAGGAACAGACCCTCACCAGACACCAAATCTTCAGGCATCTTGATCTTGAACATATCAGCCTCCAGAACTGTAAGCAATAAACTTCTGTTGTTTATAAATTACCCAGTCTAAGATATTTTGTTATAGCAGCCTGAATGGACTAAGATAGTCTCTCCTGTTGTAAACATCCACTTGCTGTTTGTTGTTTTTGTTTTAGTTCTTGCTATAAAGTTCTTACTTCATATCTTCAGTCAATACAAAGGTACTATTTCAGATCTCGCTCTTGTTTTATGATTACTGTAGGTCAGGACAGCCGTGTGCAAAAATATCTTGCATTTCATAATGGTTGAACTTCCTTGTAGAAGCCAAACTGACAAAAGGGGCAGCTAATCCCAAAGAATGTCACAGTTTGCTGATGTGGAATCTATCATTGGAACTAGTAACATCTATTCATAGCAGTCCCATGGGTGACATTACATTTGTGTTTGGGAGATTGCATAAGAAGAAGTCACTTACTGTTCTTCTGGAGCTGAGAAAACTCCAGGTCAAATTCAGCTTCAGTAAAATTTTCATTTATTCCAAAATATAATTGTACCTGCTTGAGATAATAGAATCTGACATACTAGAGCCAGGTATGAAGAGTGGAGATTTGAGTGGTGATATGGTTTGGCAATGTCCCCACCCAAATCTTATTTCAAAGTATAGTTCCCATAATCCCCCTATGTCGTGGGAGGGACCTGGTGGGGGGTAGTTGAATTACGGGGGCATTTACCCTCATGCTGTTCTCATGATCGTGGGTGAGTTCTCATGAGATCTGATTATTTTAGAAGGGGCTTTTCCCCATTTTGCTTGGCACTTCTTCCTGATGTCATGTCAAGAAGGACATACTTGCTTCCCCTTCTGCCATGATTGTAAGTTTCCTGAGGCCTCTCCAGCCATCCTGAACTGAGTCAATTAAACCTCTTTCCTTTATAAATTACCCAGTCTCAGGTATGTCTTTATTAGCAGCATGAGAATGGAGTAATACTGTAAATTGGTACCAGGGGTAGGATGCTGCTGTAAAGATACCCAAAAATGTGGAAGCAACTTTGGAATTGGCTGACAGGCAGAGGTTGGAACAGTTTGGAGGACTCAGAAGACAGGAAAATCTGGGACAGTTTGGAACTTCCTGAAGACTTGTTGAATGGCTTTGACCAAAGTGCTGATAGTGATATGGAAAACAAAGTGCAGGCTGAGGTGGTCTCAGATGGACACGGGGAACTTGTTGGGAACTGGGGCAAAGGTGACTCTTGTTATGCTTTAGCAAAGAGATTGGCAGCATTCGCCCCTGCTCTAGAGATCTGTGGAACTCTGAATTTGAGAGAGATGATTTAGGGTATCTGGCAGAAGAAATTTCTAAGTGGCAAAGTGTTTTGAACAAAGCAGAGCATAAACAAATCAGAGAAAACTGCTTTGACAAAGCAAAGCATAAAAGTTTGGAAAATCTGCAGCCTGACAATGAGATAGAAAAGAAAACCCCATTTTCTGGGGAGAAATTCAAGCTGGCTGCAGAAATTTGCATAAGTCATGAGGAATTGAATGTTCACCACCTAGACAATGGGGAAATTGTCTCCAAGGCATGTCAGAGACCTTTAGGGCAGCCTCTGCCATCACAGGCCTGGAGGCCTAGGAGGGAAAAATGGTTTCCTGGGCTGAATCCAGTGCCCCTCAGCTATGTGCAGCCTCAGGACTTGGTGCCCTGCATCCCAGCTGCTCCAGCCATTACCAATGTACAGCTCAGACCATTGTTTCAGAGGGTACAAGCCCCAAGCCTTGGCAGCTTCCACGTGGTGTTGGGCCTCCGTGTGCACAGAAGTCAAGAATTGAGGTTTGGGAACCTCCATCTAGATTTCAGAGGATGTATAGAAACACTTGGAAGTCCAAGCAGAAGTTCACTTCAGGGATGGAGCCCTCATGGAGAACCTCTGCTAAGGTACTGCAGACAGGAAATGTGGGGTTGTAGCCCCACGCAGAGCCCCCACTGGGGCACTACCTAGTGGATCTGTGAGAAGAGGGCCACCAGACTCCAGAATGATAGATCCACTGACAGCTTGCACTGTGTGCCTAGAAAAGCCACAGACACTCAATGCTAGCCATGAAAGCAGCTTGGAGGAGGGCTTTACCCTGCAAAGCCACAGGAGCAGAACTGCCCAAGGCCATGGGAGCCCACCTTTTGCATCAGCATAACCTAGATGTGAGACATGGAGTTAAAGGAGATCATTTTGGAACTTTAAGGTTTAATGACTGCCCTATTGGATTTTAGACTTGCATAGGGCCTGTAGCCCCTTTGTTTTGGCCAATTTCTGCCATCTGGAATGGGTGTATGTACCCAATGCCTGTGCGCGCATTGTATCTAAGAAGTAACTAACTTGCTTTTGTTTTTACAGGCTCATAGGCAGAAGGGACTTGCCTTGTCTCAGATGAGACTTGGACTTCATTTGGACTTGGACTTTTGGGTTAATGCTGGAAGCAGCTAAGACTTTGGAGGACGGTTGGAAAGCACGATTGTGTTTTTAAATGTGAAAACATGAGATTTGGGAGGGGCCAAGGCTGGAATGATATGGTTTGGCTGTGTCCCCACCCAATCTCATCATGAACTGTAGTTCCTATAATTGCCACATGCCATGGGAGGGACCCAGTGGGAAGTAATTGAATCATGGGGGCATTTACCCTCATTCTGTTCTCATGATAGTGAGTTCTCTTGAGATCTGATGGTTTTATAAGGGGCTTTTCCCCCTTTTCCTCAGCATGTCTCCCTCCTGCTGCTATGTGAAGAAAGACATGTTTGCTTCCCCTTCCACCATGATTGTGTTTCCTGATACCTCTCTAGCCATGCTGAACTGTGAGTCAATTAAGCCTCTTTTCTTTATAAATTACCCAGTCTTGGGTGTGTCTTTATTAGCAGTGTGAGAATGGACTAATACAAGTGGACTGGAAGACGACCTTAGTTTGGACCCATTCATTGAACATGAAGTGATGTTTATCCTTGGAATATGTTCATGTCCATTGATAATGTGGATATGTTGTATTATAGGGAAGAGTGAGAGCTAAATTATAAACATATATCTTGTGTTGATTATATAAAGTCATCTTACGTATAGAATATCTTGTAGGCCTAAAGCAGAAGAGAAAGTTAATTATTGCTGAGTTAATAAGCCAAAAGTTGCTCTGGAATAATTGGTATTAATCTATCTAAGAATCAGAAGGAGATGGTGAGGTCAGAGAGGCCAACATTAGGAGGATGCATCCAGCAGCTCTAGAGTAAATTGGTGAGTCATACAATGAACATCTTTTGTATGCATGGTATACTATATCTCATAGATTCTCTTTGCCACAAGTAAGAGAAATCTCAGACTGTCGTTAAGTGTGAACTTTGGAATTTAAGTGTGAAGGAAAGGTATTATTTCACAGAACAGGAAGTATAAATGTAGGACAGGTTCCAGGTGCATCATAAGGAAGCTCTGGCTCTATTTCATTGTTAATTCTTGGCTCTGCCCTGTGTATGCTAGCCTCATCCTCAGGCTGTCTCTCACCATTAACAAAAGGAGGGAAGAAAAGAGGGAAGGGAAAGGGAAGACAAGAAGAGGAACAGAGAGGAACAAGAACATTCCCATCAGTTTGATTAGACTAGTATAGGTTAGGTGCTCACTATTTGCATCAATATTATTGCCATGGAAATGCCATGTGCTGATTGGCTTAAATCTTATCCCTGAGTTAATTACTTGACAAGGGGACAGAATTAGTGTCATAGGCTTAGACCAGATAGAGCCTATCTCCTAATTTGGGTATGGAATCAGCTTCCCCTAATCACACAAGCTGCATATGAACTAAATTGGAGCTTTACTAGGAAGGATATGATGGGGGCTAGATGGGGAATAGATTCTAGGCAGGCAGCTTGCAGATTTTACTGCATATACTCATTAAGGAAACTTCTGACTATAAATCAAAATTAGAAAGTTTAGTCCATAGGGCATAAAGGGCTGATGATTTTGCTAGTTATATTTTTCATAAGTTACTATACTGTCATCTAGGTTTATATTATTATCTCTCAAGATCTCCACAGAACTGAACCATATCTTGATATGTTGGCAGAATGAAGTGTCTGAACCTGCAATGCTGGGGACCAACCATACCACAGAATATAATTATTTCACCAAGGCAACACTACAATTATGGGATTTTAGTTGACCTTTATTGATGACACCCTTGTCATATTTCATGCCTTTATCATTCATATTTTATTTTTCATCATTGACTATTTTATCTACTTTCGGTACATAATTGTTGGAGCATTCCAAGTCTGTATCTTGGGCTACTGCCTCAATTGAATACAAATACAAGCCCCCAGTGATTTCCCTTTCTCTCCATTTATTATGGTCCTTTAATTCTTATACATTTAAATATATTGCACATAAATGTGATTATCTGTCACACCCACTGGAAGAAAGTATGTGAGGGCAGAGGCTTTGTCTGTTTCATTCACCATTGAAACCGAGGGCCTAGAATAATGTCAGGTACATAGTTGACCTTCAATAAATTCCAGCCAGTCCTTGCTTTGTACGGTAGTGTGGGACCATAAAAATGACTGTGCAAGCTGAAACCAGACAAAACATTATTAATAACCAATGTGAAAAGTTACAATTTTTTTTTAGACAGGTTCTCGCTGTGTCACCCAGGCTGGAGTACAGTGGCACGATCTCAGATCACTGCAACCTCCACCTCCTGGGTTCAAGTGATTCTTGTGCCTCAGCCTCCTGAGTAGCTGGGATTACAGGCATGCACCACCACAGCCCAGCTAATGTTTTGCATTTTTAGTAGAGATGGGATTTCCCCATGTTGGCTAGGCTGGTCTTGAACTCCTGGCCTCAAGTGATCCTCCTGCCTTGGCCTCCCAAAGTGCTGGGATTACAGACATGAGCCACTGTGCCCAGCCAGAAAAGTTACAATTGTTCCATGATCATTACGATGTTTGTCAAAATATTAAAAACTCTCTAATGTCAGATATAAGTGCATAGCAAAGTTAAAGAATAGTGTAATATTTAGCATGTAATTTAAAAATTAGAAACATGAAAAAATAAAGTATTGTATTTCTTTATTAAAAGTATCAAGTGAGCCGGGCGCGGTGGCTCACGCCTGCAATCCCAGCACTTTGGGAGGCCGAGGCAGGCGGATCACGAGGTCAGGAGATCAAGACCATCCTGGCTAACACAGTGAAACCCCGTCTCTACTAAAAATACAAAAAATTAGCCGGGCGTAGTGGCGTGCGCCTGTAGTCCCAGCTACTGGGGAGGCTGAGGCAGGAGAATGGCGTGAACCCGGGAGGCGGAGCTTGCAGTGAGCCGAGATTGCGCCACTGCACTCCAGCCTGGGCGACAGAGCCAGACTCCGTCTCAAAAAAAAAAAAAAAAGTATCAAGTGGACTAGGCACAGTGGCTCACGCCTGTAATCCCAGCACTTTGGGAGGCCAAGGCAGGCACATCACTTGAGGTCAAGAGTTCAAGACCAGCCTGGCCAACACAGTGAAACCCCATCTCTACTAAAAATACAAAAAATTAGCCAGGCATGGTGATGCATGCCTGTAATCCCAGCTACTCGGGAGGCTAAGGTATGGGAATTTCTTGAACCCAGGAGACAGAGGTTGCAGTGATCGTACCACTGCACTCCAGCCTGGGTGACAGAGCGAGACTCCATCAAAAAAAAAAAAAAAAAGAAAAGAAAAAATCGAGTGGTTGGAACAGTGCTTGCCTTCTCATTGTGTAACTTTTATATGAAATGAGCATGTTTCTATGCCTTGGCAAATTGTCATATTCCTTTCTAAGTTTGGATCAGCTTCAATATTTTATCATCTGAACTTTCAACATGGTGGATTATGTCTGAGAGTCCCTTAGGGCCTTTGCTCTGTCGTCCAGGCTGGAGTCCAGTGGCATGATCCTAGTTCACTGCAGCCTTTTAACTCCTAGGCTCAAGCAATCCTCCTGCCTCAGCCTCCTGGGTAGCTGAGACTACAGGTGCATACCACTATCCCCAGCTAATTTTTAAATCATTTTGTAGAGACAGAGTCTTGCTATGTTGCCCAGGCTGGTCTCTAACTCCTGGCTTCAAGTAATCCTCCCTCCTCGGCCTCCCAAAGCACTGGGTTTACAGGAGTGAGCCACCACACTGCCCTTTGAGAGTTCCTTTAGTGTGAAGGTTTTTTTAAATGGTGTCCTGTCTTCTGGGATATCTTCATCCTTTCAGTCACAATCACTTTCTTCATTTAGTTAGTGAAGTTTGCATTCACTAACTGGCTATGGCAGCATATCTTAAGTCTCTCAAATGGTGGTAGTGTCAACATTCCCATGGTTAATTTTTTCTTCTGTAACTCTGTTTATGTGTAATTTGAATTTCACTTCCAATGTTATCACTTTTCTTTCTTTGTAGCACTTTTTTTCTTTCTTTTTTTCCCCCCAGAGTCTATCTTCTCAGAAAACTTTCTTGCACTTTTATCTTTAGCTATGTCCTCTTTCAATTATCCAATTTTGTAACATATCACGTGGGTCTATCATAAGACAAGGAGACAACATGACTACATGCTTTGTTGTCTGAGTGTGAACTGAATAGAAGATGCACAGGAACTGATAGGAACAGCCTCTGATAGACTTTGAAAACAGTGATGTGCATCTCTTATTTACTTAGTGATCTGAGGACTGAAGACCTAGCAGCAAAGTGTGCATTTTAAGCAATTACAGTTCATATATTAATACTATAGTAACTGAAATTTAAACCAGATTATTGAAGAACTGGTGTTATTTAAGCTAATAACTGGAATTTGTGCATATTGGAACTATGCAAAGGGAGGACTGCCTATAGTTTAATGAGTAAATGGTCTTAATTATTATTCATGAATAAGCAACCTCTTGATTGTAGAGAAATATGTAGATTATATTAAAAGATGTATAAATACAAAGTAAATATTAGAATAATATGGTGAGGAAATTGACATGATTTGGGTCTTCTGGAGCTTACATTTAATCAGAGGATTTGGGTAAATAGGTAGCCAGTCACAACGGGACATGAGAAGCCTGCATTAGGAAAAATATTGAAAGCTATGAAGGCATACAATAGGAACACTTAACTCTCCTTGTAATAAGCTGAGAAAAAAATTCCCTGGGGGAAGTAACAATCTTATCTGCGGTGTGGAGGAAACCAAATGAAGACAGCAGAGGTCAGAGTATTTCAGGCAGACATAAGGGCCCAGAGGTGGGAGGGAACTTGGTGATTTCACAGAACAGAAAGACATGTCTTACGTTCCATTCATAGAAAAGGGAGAAGGGAGTGGTGAAAGACGGGAAAACTATAAAGTCTATATCTAAGTGGGAGGATCACAGTGATAGGACTTCTATGAAAATAGGAAACCATCAAGTGCTTGAGAATGAATGGAGGTAACTTATATGTGATAAATTTATTTCCCTTACCAAGGTCAGGACACATATTTTTTTCTCCAAAACGTTTATCCTAACACACCATACTGAACAACTTACTAGCAGTTACCCCACTGGGACTTTACGTATTCTATCCATGAAAGGAAGTGACTCATACCAATTAACTTACGTAAAATTAAAAAATGTTACCATTTGCACAAAAACTTGTGGGGTTTTCCCCAAAAATATTAGAACTGGAAAGAAACTCTTTGTTCTTGGACAAAAATCTTACAGATAAATTTGGCCTTGAGGAAATCACCTAAATGTTCTGGTCATTTTTGAAACAAAGATGGTTGTTCTTTTCCAACCTCATAGTCACACATAATAAGAGTATTCTTATGATTTAAATTCCTTCGATGAAACAAGGAATTATTTTCTTAACATTTATATTATGGTTATAACCACCAGCTGTTGATAATGACTACATTTCTTATCTCCTTTCCTTCCTTAGTCTTTATTAAAATAAGTTTAATAGTAAAATGATAAAATATTAATAAAGGAATAAAAACTTATAGACATATAAAAATAAAGATCAGGAAAAAAGATGGTAACATACAAGATTTCAACTGATTTTCAGAATCTGCAAAGGGAAGTAAGCGTAACTGTTAGCATGGTAGAGAAAGACACTACTTATATGTACGGAGGAGGTAGTGAACAAGCTGAGAGTTCGTCGATGGCATCCTGCAAAATCACAGAAAGGGTTAAGACTTCAGGCAAAAGTGAAGGTCAGGTGTGGGGCTGAAAATAGGAGGATGGGTTGAAAGTGTGTGTGAAAGACCTGTCGGTTCCCTCCTTTTTACTACCCCCGGACATACCTACAACCATACAGAATTCCTAGGAGGGACACAGAAGGTTTATTCTCTTAGAAATCTTTGTTTGTTTGTTTGTTTGTTTGTTTGTTTGTTTGTTGAGACGGAGTCTCGCTCTGTCGCCAGGCTGGAGTGCAGTGGGGCGATGTCGGCTCACTGCAAGCTCCGCCTCCCGGTTCAAGCGATTCCCCTGCCTCAGCCTCAGATGGGACTACAGGCACACGCCACCACGCCCAGCTAATTTTTTTTGTATTTTTAGTAAAGACGGTGTTTCACCATGTTGGCCAGGATGGTCTCAATCTCTTGACCTTTAATCCGCCTGCCTCGGCCTCCCGAAGTGCTGGGATTACAGGCGTGAGCCACCGCGCCCGGCCGAGAAATCTTAATAGGAACAAATCAAGTCACACAGATGTCAGAATTGATAGTAGAAATACAGTAACAACACACTGAATTTCATTCTCGCCAGATTAGATTACAGTTTAGAGTCATGCTGAATTTAATGTAAAGACTATTAATTCCAATAAATATATAGGCCTACTATGTACACACAAAAATTTAAAATTAAAATCTTAATGGAAACATCTCTAGTGTTTTCTCATTAAATAAGATACTGACTAAAAGACTAGGCTATACATACTATATTGTGTTAAGAAAGTATGTCTCAATTCCTATTTTGAGCGTTTCTTTTTTAAAGTAACGAGTGGTTGTTGACTTTTGTCAAAGACCTTGTCAGCATTGATGGACATAATTATGAGTTTTTCCTTGGATTTTCTAATGTGACATATAGTTGTGACACTTTTATATGCCAATTTGAGTGGGCCACTGGGTGCCCAGATATTTGGTTAAATATAATTCTGGATGTGTCTGCAAAAGTGTTTCCATAAAATATTAGCATTTGAATTGGTAGGCTAAGTAAGTAAAGCTGATGGCCCTCTTCAGTGTGGGTGGGTGTCATCTAATCCGTTGAGAGCCTAAGCAAAACAAAATGGCTTAGAAAGGGAGAATTCACTCTCTCTGCCTGACTGCTTGAGCTGGAAAATTGGTCCCAGGCCTTCAAATTTGGGCTAGAACTTACAGCATAGATTCTCTTGGTTCTCAAGCCTTCAGGCTTAGCCTGGAACTATATCACTGGCTTTCCTCAGTTCCAGCTTGCAGATAGCCAATTATGGGGCTTCTCAGCCTCCACAATCATGGGAGCCAATAACCTATGAAAAATCTCTTTATATATACTGTCATGCATCACTTAATGCTGGGAATATGTTCTGAGAAATGCATTGTTAGGCAATTTTGTCATTGTGCAAACACCATATAGCATACGTACGCCAACCTAGATCGTATAGCCTACTACGCACCTAGGCTATATGGCATAACCTGTTACTCCTAGGCTACAAACCTGTACAACATGTTATTATACTGAATACTGTAGGCAACTGTAACACAAGGGTATTTGTGTATCTAAACATACCTAAACATAGAAAATGTATGGTAAAAATATCATTTATAGGCCGGGCGCGGTGGCTCACGCTTGTAATCCCAGCACTTTGGGAGGCCGAGGCGGGTGGATCACGAGGTCAGGAGATCGAGACCACGGTGAAACCCCGTCTCTACTAAAAATAAAAAAAAAATTAGCTGGGCGTGGTGGCGGGCGCCTGTAGTCCCAGCTACTCGGAGAGGCTGAGGCAGGAGAATGGCGTGAACCCGGGAGGCGGAGCTTGCAGTGAGCCGAGACTGCGCCACTGCACTCCAGCCTGGGTGACAGAGCGAGACTCCGTCTCAAAAAAAAAAAAAAAAAAAAATCATTTATAATCTTATGAGGCCAATGTTGTATGTAATCCATTGTTAATGGAAACATCATTATACAGCACATGACTATATAGATATATGTATTTTATTGGTTCTGCTTCTCTAGAAAACCCTAATACAATAGTATTAATGGAGTTTCTAATATCGAACCAAGTTTGCAGTCCCCAAATAAATCCCACTTAGCAATGGTGTACTATTTTCTTAGTGTGGTTTTAGATTCTATTTGCTAATAATTTACTTAACATTTTTTCATTGATATTCAAAAGTGACATAGATCGGTAGGGTTTTTTTTTCTTTGTACTGTCTTTGTCTGGTTTAGGTACTAACATTATTCCTATTTCATAAAAACAGTTTGGAAATTTTCTTTCATTTTCCATGCTCTGAAATAATTTATAAGCTGTTAGGACCTGGTCTTTCAAAACTTGGTAGAATTCACTCGTGAAAACATCTGGGCCTGGCGTTTTTTTTTTTGCAGGGTGATTTCTTAATAACTGTCTTCATTTCTTCTATGGAAATTGGTTAAATTTTGTAAACCTAACAGAGCTAATTTTGGTAAAATGTATTTCTGTAAGAAATTATGCACTTCATCCAGATTTTCCAATTTATTTGTCTAGAGGTCAGCAAAGTAGTCTCTTCTGACTTTTAAAATTTCTTTTGTTTGAAAGGTTATTTCGCCCTTTTCACTTCTTACTCTACATATTATACTTTCTTTGTTCTTCATCAATTTAGTTAGTAGTTTGCCTATTTTATTTCGTCCCCCAAAAAGCCAAGATTTCAATTTGTTAGAGCTACTGTTTTTCTATTCTTTATTTCACTAATCTCTGCTTTTATCTTTACTGTTTTCTTTTGTTTTAAACTGTTCTAATTGTTTGAACTATAAATTTAATTCATTATTTTTGTCCTTTCACTTTTAGAGAAAAGGTAGTGTAATTAATTTTTCTCTAAGTACTGTTTTAAATACATCCCATAGATTCTAATACGTAGTGTTTTTATTATCTATTATTTGTTTAAAATAATGTATTTCAGCCAGGCACGGTGGCTCATGCCTGTAATCCCAGCACTTTGGGAGGCCGAGGTGGGCCGATCACGAAGTCAGGAGATCGAGACCAGCCTGGCTAACACGGTGAAACCCCGTCTCTACTAAAAATACAAAAAAATTAGCCGGGCGTGGTGGCGGGCGCTTGTAGTCCCAGCTGCTGGGGAGGCTGAGGCAGGAGAATGGCGTGAACTGGGGAGGCAGAGCCAGCAGTGAGCTGAGATCGCACCACTCTACTCCAGCCTGGGCGACAGAGCGAGACTCCATCTCAAAAAAAAATAAGTAAATAAATGTATTTCAGCTTGTATTTCTCATTTCAGCCAAGAGTTATTTAATAAGAAGTTTTTTGTTTTTTTTTTACATTTCCAGGTCTACATTATCTAATATAGATATTGCTACCCCTGCTCCCTCTTTATTTCCATTTGCCTGGTATATGGTTTTTTCATCCTTTTATTCTCACCTACCCTTTCTGAATCTTTTTGTTTTAGGTGTGCCTGCTATCTACTATATAGCTGTGCTTTAGTTTTGTCAGACGAATTGAGAGTCTTTTGGTCTTAATAGGTGAATTAAACCTATTCACATTTATTGCTATGAGTGACATGTTTGGTATTAATCATAACATTTTATTATATTTTGTTATATTTCCTGTGTTTATGAGATTTGTATTCTTTACTATTTTATTTATGGTTTTCTAGAAAAGTTTATATTTTTATCTTAGTGGTTACCTTTGTATTTATATCTTTTTCAGTGCTCTTGGTCCCCCGTTTGTTAATTAACCTTTTGTTGTCTTGTTTATCAGGCTTGCTTTTTTTCCAGTATCTCTTAACATCCCCCTATTACTCCTCAAACAATGAGCTTTTTCTACTTTTCTTTCTCCCTCTTCTTATACTGCCTATTTTTAAGATATATTATTTCTACTTTATCATAATATATAACATTTGTATGCTAGTTTTCCATCCTCATCTCCACCTTTGTTTTAGTTTTATGTATAGTTATAGATTATTAAATGCTTACCATCAGTTCTTTTACTCAAGTTTCTCCTGCCATTACTGGTTGGATGAAAGTTCATTCTCTAATAAATTCCTCAAAAGGATTTATTGATACAGAATTCTCTACATTTTTGTATATTGAGACTGTTTCTCTATAGTCGTCACATTGAGGGGCAATTTAGCTGAAAATAAAGTTCTTAATTCACAATTTATTTGAGTGAGTGCCTTAAAAACTTGTTCCTCAGTTGTTTGACTTTGTATTGTTTTATGAAGTCTGATGCTAGTCTAATTTTCCTCTTTGCATATTTGATCTTGTTACCTGGAGATTTTAAGGACTTCATCTTTGGGTCTATGAATTTTACTAGGATGTGTCTCAGAGTTGATCATTCTGGATGAATTTTCTCATGTACCTAAGTGAGCTCTTTCAATTCATAGATTCAGCTTTTTATTTTTGGAAAGTTTTTTGGATTATAATTTTAAATATTAGTTCTGTTTCATTATTTTATTTGCTTTTTCAGGGACTTTGATAGTACAAATATTATTACTTGTTGCCTATCTTGAAGTTCCAGTTCCCTACTTTCTCTTTGATACTTTCTAAAGAAAAATTTGCCTTCTGCAAAACTGCACACAAAAAATAATAGACTTATGTGAAAAACAGGATTAAGTCAGGTTGCTAAAGACCAATGCAACTTTATAAATTAGAGCACTAACAAATGTACTTAAATAACAATTATAATGAAAATATCACAATTTAAAGGACACCTTAACTTTCTAAAAATAAAGACATTTTAAGTTGATACAAAAAAGTGAAGCTAGGGACATTTTATAAAATGGCTGGCTTATACTCTTCAAAAATGGCAGGGTCATAAAAGACAAAGGAAGGCTAAGGAGCTTATTCAGATTAGAGGAGACAAAAAACACACAACCAAGAAAAGCAAAAAGAGCTCTCATGCCACAAAAAGACATGGACGAAACCTAAATGCACATTGCATAGGCCAGTCTAAAAAGGCTCTATGGGAGAGAAAGATGTATAAGTGGAGTACGGGGTATTTTCAGGGAGTGAAATTGTTCTGTAATAGTGGATACTTGTCCTTATACCTTTGTCAAAACCCACTGAATATACAACGCAAAGAGTGTATTGTAAACTCTGGACTTTAATTAACAGCAATGTGTCAATATTGGCTCATCAATTGTAACAAATGTGCCACACCAATGCCAGATGTTAATAATAGGACAAACTATGGAGGGGAGACAGGAGAGAGGTATTTGGGAACTCTCTGTTCTTTCTACTCTATTAATTAAAAAAAAAAAAAAAAAAAAAAAAGACCTAACAGCTAAATGCAACATGTAATCCTGGACCAGGAAATACATTTTTTCCTTTGCTGTAAAGGACATTATTGGGACAATCTATTAAATTTGAATAAGGGCTACAGATTAAATAATAATATTGTATTAAAATATGTATAATTATCAATGTATTTTTTCTGATTTTGATCATTTTACTGTAGTTATATAAGAGAATGTTCTTGTTTTTAGGAAATACACAATTAAGGATTAGGGATTAATGGATGTTATGTATGTAAATCATCCAAATAACTCAGAAAAAAACCAATATAGACAGATAAAGATAAAGCAATTGTGGTAACCTGTTAACATTTAGGGAACCTGGGTGAAGAGTACATTAGAACTTTTTGTACTGTTATTGAAACTTTTCTGTCAGCCTGTAATTATTTTAAAAGAAGTTGAAAATTAAATCAGCTTAATAGAAGAGAATATAAGGAAAGTTTGCTGTTGCTGAGTTATGAAGACCAGGTAAAAATGCACAAAAGTCAGGGAAACAATGTAGTAAGCAATTGCAAGACAGACCATATGGTGGGACTCAGCCCAGAGGAAGCGTGTGGGGTAAGCATGCATGGCTGACTCATCTGTGTTCATGGACTTTGCATTCAGCTGCTATTATACAGTGACACACAATGTTAATCTGT